>NC_000005.10:161821930-162124960 GCF_000001405.40 Homo sapiens | reverse complement strand
CATCTCTTTATACCAGAAAGAACAGCAAAAACTGCATCTTATTTATTTTGAGACTGCTCTTATGTGTAGGTAATGCCCTTTCTTGGTGACTTATGAGATTCCTTGCATCATTTTGCAGAAGCGTATTTCAATTCTTCTATTTATTAGCTATTAGGAATATTTAGAAAGAGCTAGGTATAAAGGACTGGATCTCTAGCACTGTGTGTCATGCGGCGCATTAAGAAATAGTGCTTTTTTGAGATTCTAAATGCAGATTTTCAAGTCTGGCCTAGGTGGAGGGATGCTTTTTCTTCACTCCTCATGTTTCCTTCCCTGTGAAGGAACTTCATTAGAATAACACTACCAGCCTCTCTCTGTCCTTTAACTCCACCCTGGAGGAAAACAAACAAACAAACAAACAAAATCAAAAAACAAAACAAAACAAAACTGAATGTGCATTGCCGCATTCCTTCCTATTCCTTTTTCTCGGGAGGGCCTCTCTAAAGGGCATACCTATTCTATGCTGTTTTTCTAGGGGTGAGTAATTCTGATTCTGCTAGATAGGTAATTCTAGTTCTGGAGTTTAATATTATAAAGCAATTTCTCTCATAGGTATATGCAAAATGTTTCAATATCAGGAATATCAGTAAAAAAGATGATGCTTTGGTCACTTTCTACTCACTTTATTTGTTGTATTTTTCTATTGTTTTAGAACATGGGAGGCAAGAAGATGGTGTTGCCAATTGGACTCTTAAACAAAAACATTCACAATCACTTGAAAACACTTGGTCATTCCGCCATATAGCCTTTATTTATACTACTATCCTGGCCTAAATGCCCCTTTTTTCTCTTTAGCTATTTGAAATCTCATGATAAGACCCAGCTCAAACACTTTCTCTCTGGGGAAGCTTCTTTATTTCCTCATGCCTCTCAGGCCCTCTACTGAGCATTGCTTTAACCCTAGTTATTCCTCACCTTGATTCATCATTCATTGCTGCATTTTGCTTATATGGATAAAAGAGAATCACTTTTCTTCCAGATTTCCTGATGACCAGTCGTTTGAAGATGTTGCTTCTATAGTTATAATTATTTTAAATGTTTCACACACAAACAAAAACATTAACACAGTGGTTATGGACACATTCTTTGGAGGTAGACAGGCCCATTTACAAGTCTTGGCTTTGCTACACACTATGTGACCCACTGGTACATTTCTTAACTTCTCTAAATCTGCTTCTCTCCTATAGAATAATAATAACACAAGTCCTCATAGCTACTACAATGATTAATAGAGTAATGCCATAAAACACTTAGCTCAGATCCTGACACATAGTAAATACCCAATGAAAAGAAGCTACTGTCAGTCTTTAAAAATATACATGTGATTATATGTAAACAGACACACACTTACACAAGTATGTTACTTTTTTCTTTTTGCTGTAACTCCCAAGACAGGTTGAGCTCAACTAAATTTTTTTATTTGTTTTGAGAATGCATAATTATTTTTTATTGGTTAATGCTTATCAAGTTCCATATGAAAATTTGTTTAAATATAGATGTGTGGTATGACAATACCATCATCATGCAAAAATAATTAGATAATTAGATAAATAAAGGTTTCATATGCCTAGAACATTATTAGAGTCCAATAAAGATGATTATATCTTATCCATGACTAATTCCAAACAAATGCATCTTTGACTTTTAATGTTTGAAGTGTGAAGAAATAGAAATTAGAAAAAAAAATATCAGGAGGATGATTTACAGATTTTATTGATAGAAAACAAATAATATCTATCCCTTCTTTTTTCTCAGATATGATTAGTTAACTCTTTATAGAATATTAAAACATTTAGTCATCTTTTAATTATCATTAAACACTTTGTTTTCAAATATACAATGATTTTCATGTTGAATATATTCTAAGCTGTTTTCATATTGGTACTTTCTTGACTGTGCCAGAAGCTACTCCCAGATATATAGTGCAAGATATTATAGCATTTATTCTTAAATGTCTAAATTTTAGAGATATTAAAATGAAAAATAAACATAAACAAGAATCAACAAAATAAGGTAATTTTAATGTTTTCTTTTCTTTCCTTTCCTTCCTTCTTTTTTTATTTTCTTATTTGCTTTACAAAGTCTTTGACTATTATGTTAGGTTTTAATGGGCTCAAAATTCATGCTCTATCTTTTCCATTCTCAAGTAGTTTGTATAAGAATACTATTTTTCTTTAATGTTTAAATATATTTACTGATGAAGCCATTTATCTAGAGATATCTTTGTGAAAGTCTTTCTTTTTTGCTTTATTTGATCTTTCATCTTTTCTCTCTTTTTAAAATTATATTTCAAGACAATTGAAATATAATGGGTGGTCTGTCATGAAGATAAAAAACATTAAATAATCTGAAGTATAAAACAGACTATTCCTGAATGTCTCAATACTAGTGATGGAACCCTTCAATAATATGTGTAACGAACGGTTTATATAGATTATCTATTCTTTTAATATACTCAGTGGAAGTAAATTCTATAATCATTTAATTTTTTAAATGTATTCAGTTATTTTTGTCTGTTTTAAAATTTGTATATGTGTGTTTTCATTTGTCCAATTTGTTTATTTTTGGCTTGTTTTGATTTGCTTTTAATAGGTGCAACACCGCAGCAGAGGCCTAACTCATAGTTATTAGGATATAGGTTCTATGAATTGCGTTTAAGTATTCAACTTCCTCGCTGTTTAGCCAATGCAACTTTTATTTTGGTTCTAAATAATTTAAAATTAGTTCAAGTTACATAAATATATATCTTGTCAAATTTTAAAGTAAGCATTTATTTTTATGTGTTTGTGTGTATTCTAGAGGAATTAAGAAATATATGTCTGGAACTCTTCCAATTTCACAAATTTTCTTATGCTTCTTATGTAATTTAAAGTTAAGAATGTTTTTAAACCTGACTTTTGCCTTCAGTGACACTAAGATATTGGAAAGTTAATGACAGCACTGATTTATTTATGCATGCATAGTTTCTATATGACCCTTTGACTGCTAGCTATTCTACATTTTATAGATATAGAAATTCAAATGCCTTCAATTACATTAAATGATAATCCCGTGATCTTAAGAGGACACATTGATGCTCTTTCTGTTCTGTCCACAACACTATCAAACCCAATTTCTCCCTATTTGCAAGATTCATTTCAAATGCTTCCACTTCATGATCTTTCTTCTAGTTACCTCCTTCAACTCCAGCATGTCTTTAAAAAGCACCTACTATGTGCCAGGCACTAAGCTAGTTGCTAAGGAGATAAACATAAAATTGGATGTTCATGGCATTATATCTACAGTCAGTCTTATAAAGGAGAAACCTTCTTATCAAATACAAAAAGAGCTTGTACTAGGTCAGTTGGTGAAAAGGAGTCTTTTATAAGTTATTAATGAATATAATTTATACAATGTTTCAAAATGCATTTTAACTAAAAATCTACAAAATGCACACTTTGTCCACCATTTAAAAAAAATAGATCCAAAGCTCCTTTGCTTTGAACTAGAGTCTGCCAACTGGTTATCCAAGTGTCATCATTCATATACAAATCACACTCAAATTCATCAATTTTAAAAAGATCAAGTGTAAACATTCTTTCTAATATGCACTGTTTTATAAGCATTTACAAATAATTAGCTCACACCTAATTATATAGCCTTATGTAATATTTAAATTGTATCATTGAAATAATAGTTCAACATTCATTAACAGGTTTGGACAGAAACACAACTGACTCTAGATGAATATTAAACTCAGCAGAAGTATGTGGACATGCAATGGAATGACTCACGAGCATCTACTCTTCAAATTGCCACAGACATTGGTCCATACTTTTGACAGAGGGAGGTTTCAGTAAAAAGCGTAGAGCTTCTACAGTTTATAATGATTCGCATGAATAAGTAAGAATTTAAACTTATTAACACTGGAATCCTTGCCTTGTTTAACTTTGAACCTGATATCCCTTGATACAGTCTTTTATATACAATATGTGCTCAGCAAATACTAAACAAATAATGAACAAAGTATCTAATTGAATAATATCTTGGTTAAAGAAAGCAATGCTGGCTTTTACTACCAGGTTTTAATGGGAATTCTTAATCTAAACTGGCTAGTTCTCTTCTTGTATAATTCAGTTTAAATGGTCCTGTAAAGTTATATAGTGCTTTGCAATTGCAGAGCCATTTTCATATACTTTAATCTCATTTAATAATTGCAAGGATCCTATATGGTCAGAGAAATTGAACACTTATTTTCTATTTATAGGCATGTAAACTGTGGCTAAGGTAGATTAGAAACTGCCTGAGTTCATGCAGCTTGCAGAGGTGGCATGAGAGCTCACATGCCGTCTCTATTATCTGATGCTGCATCCAGAATCCTCCCAAGTCTACATCTTATGTTGAAAGATGAATAGTCAAGAAAAAGCTATAGTTCTTGAGTCCTAACTGCAACTCTCTAATATCTCCACTGTACAGAGAATTCAAGTAGGCATAACCTCAGGTTTAGACATGAAACTTCAATGCTAGAGTAATAATCTCAAAAAGAGCTTAATATTCCCTTTGAGTGTGATCTATTATATTATATTCTCCTAGGCCTCAGAAAGAACCCCTGAGAGAATGAGGGAAGATGGAATTGTTGGACACAACATCAAATGACTATCATATCTAGAATTACAGACAGATGACAGATGTATGGGTGCAAAGGTTGTGCCTGGTACTTCCATGGGCCAAAAATTGAATGTAAAAGACAGGGAAAGGCAAGTATAAAACATATAGCACCTGATTTAATGTTAAGTTGGCACAACTATGGAAACACCACCTTTACCACTGTCTGAGGTTTCAGCAAAGGCTGCTCAAGTAAACCCCAGTTATTTCAGTATGGAGCTGGCAGATGGACGCTGCAGATACATTTCTCCCACCAGCCTCTGTCTGAGAGGCACTAGGCATGGCAAGCATGGGGGCGATCATTCCAAATGCCAGGAAGAGGAGTGGGTGGAAGTAGGCAGCTTGCTAAAGTAAGCCCCTGAAACCGTCACAATTAAGAACTACAATAGCTCTTAAACAGCATTATGACTATACCAATACCTTCAAATTATATTCCAAACATATCCTAAGGTATTTTGAGAAATTAAGGTATATTTAGGACAATGATTTCTTCATTCAGAAAAAAATAAAAATGGGAATGACATGCTATTGAAGCATGTAGGCATTGATGTGCTCCGTTGTAGTAAAAAGCATAGACTTCGGTGTAAGGTAGGTGCTTCATCAGTCTCAGCACATAGAGATTCATATAAAAATTATCTAAAGTTCAGTTACATCTCGATCATTGTCATTTCATTGGACTGTGGGCTGCTCAAGGAAAATTTACCTTCTTGAACCCTATTTGGGAACATGGGAGGCCCAGAATAAATAATCAAGAAACTTATCTCTAAAAGGAGGGTAGTGATCATATATCTACTTCAAAGTTCTTAAGAGAATTATGATATACTATAAATGAATTGCTATGGGTAGTTTGCTGCACACAGTAGTTTTCAACAAATAAAATATGTTAATAATTATTACAACATTGGGTAACTATGAACTCTTGAAGTAAACAGAAATTATCTGGAGAGAAATTTGGAAAGTTGAAAATAGGTTATCAGTTTTCAGGAGGAAATAAGCATTTGTTTCTCTCAGCCCCAGACAGAATAGAGACTAGAGGTAATGCAGAGTTTTGTAATTCTCCTTGCATCCCTACATATAGACAAGAGAACGCACTGAATGTTTTAATATGAAAGGATAATTCTCTTAAATATTTCTCTATATCTCTGTGTGGAGTCTAATTTCAAATTGTCTTTCATCCTATATTCCTTATCTGAAAGTTTAATTTTCAATTCTCAAATGACTTAAAGGACTGCATTTAACTGGGTCCAGCATTCTCAAATGCCCCTGGGGACTTCAAAACAGTCCAATGCTACAAGTCCCTTTTTCACTTTACGTTAAAGTGCATTAATCCTAGGGGCCATCCCAATACGACCTTCCTCTGTCTTCCTCTGAGTATAGCATTCTTTATCCTTTCCTTTCCACATTTAGCCTTCATCTTTTAATAGCAATTTTCCACCAAAGTTGCAGAAAAGTCAGAATTTTGCCTTTTGTGTCGCTTTAATAATACCCTAGATTGTTATCAGCTTGTCATCCTTCTTAAGTCCCGATGACAAAATCTGATCACAGGAACCCAGGAGTGAGAAGTAGGAACTTGAGTCACAATCTCAGCCTTGTTCCTTGTGGAGTTGGGAGAAATGATTCATTTATTTCATGTGTCAATTTGCTTACTGGCACAGATATAGATATAGATATAGATATATAGAGAGAGTTTTGCTCAAATATATTCACATGTTTATAAGTTTACCTGGGACTTAAAGCCAGATCTTTTTACTTCTAGCCTAGTTTTGCTATTACAGCACCTATGTAATTATACCCAGAGTTTTCCTTTGAGACAGAGATAATATGTCCAGTTATGGGAAGGATTTTAAATGTCCTTGATCAAGATACACCTGTTACCACCTCACTCTTGTTTCTATAAAAAGAAAACTAGACATATTAGGTTAGAGTTAATTATCAAAACTCTTGCCATTAACTGCAAACAATAAAACCTATCAGGCTGTTACAGTATATAATTGGCATGAGTACCTTGAAAATACGTGTTTTTATTATGTTTATTACAGACACACACACACACACACACACACACACACACACCATCAGAACCTCTATGAACAGCAATAGTTTGGGTTTTTTTTTCCTTGATAAAACTACCATGGATGGCAGAAAAAGAGTTGAGGAGAAAAAATAAACAAAACTGCTATACCAAATCACCACTACCTACAAATAAGACTCAACAAAAATTCTGGGGCTGAGTCTAAAATCAAATACTGGCTCAGGATTTGAATCCATAATTCAAAAACCTGCAAAAATTTGTCGCAAGTTTACAGTTCTAGTGAAGCGCGTAACACGGTGTCTTTCATATGTGAAATGCTCAACAAAAGTTGGCTTTAGCATCTGCGTCATCATCATCATCATTATCATCACCATATCATTACCAACACTACTTATCTGTGCATATATTAACAGTGGCAGATTTTTAGGACCAAAATATCTATTAGTACTCAATTATTCAATGTCAACCAATGAAATGGCAATTCTGTTTTGTACTAATTCAGTCTTGGGTAGAGGAGAGAACAGTTGCTTGGGGTCCCCTACACTTGTTAATTAGCTTTAGTTCTACTCATAACTAGCCATATGGCAATATTTTAAATTATTGTTAGCACTATGCTTCATGTACTTTATCTATAAAACAGAGGAACAAAATTAAGAATGCTTCATTAAAGAAAAGGTTAAATCGTAGCTCAATTGTTAAGATTAAATACAGGAAAAGATTTTAAAAGTTGCTTGAAACTACTCTTTTTGACAATATCTTCCTCTTACACAGGACTGTTAGAGACATTAAGGATTTTTTTTTTCCATGAAAAGAATAATAACAATCAAGACAATGTGACCTTTACATTATTTTGTAGCCATTCTTTATTAAATCATTTTCAATTACTTCCTCCTACTGACAAGGAGATGATTCTGGTTTATCGCTTCTTAGAAGTTAACACCGAATAATAACTGTAAAATTGAATTTAGTACAGGACCAATATTTTGGACTTGTAATTAATAAAGCTGTCCCAGCAGTACAACAAAGAAAATTTTGCTTATGTTTATAAAATATGACTGTTCCCATCACCCTACAATCATTTTCATGTTAATATCATGTGTTCTCACCTGCTCTTCTGAAACCAATTTTACATAAATTAGAAATCATGCTATAGGTCACTGACAGAGTGAGACAGTCTTGACCCAAAACAATCTCTTTTTGAGAGGATAATTCTCAGACAGACATTTTCATTCTTGGGCAGTATTTTCTCTGAGAGTATGGTATTCCTTTCTCTTTTTAAAAGTAACTTATCCTGGCACATGATCTTGGGATCTGAAAACCAACAGAAACCAAAACTGGCAAATCACAAGCCTGGGACTCTATTCCCCATTCACGTGATTAGGAATTCCTTTCAACCTCCCTAAGGTCTTTGTCAAAGTTATGGTCCCATATTGCAGAATTAAATGTCACAGAGTATTGCCTGCCCCACTACTTCTAGAGAAGACTCCATGAGATCTGGTGACTGGGCCCCTCCGACATGGCCAGGTAGGTGAGTCATGTATAGTATAAAGGATTATACTATTGTTAATTGTTGGTGACAGTTTTGTAATCCAGATATTTGCTTCCCCTGCCTACAAAGTCCATCCCTATAGAGGCCTTCCCTGGTGCCCCTTTGTGTGAAAGCATTGTGCATCTTATTCCATGGACATCAGGCTTGTTCTTGGGATTTGCTTTGGTCAGTAGAATGTGAGTCAAAATTACTTAAGACCCACAAAGCAGAGGTTTTAAGGACAATTTTACTCTTCTATTATTTCCCCTTTTGGCTATGAGAATGATATACCACAGAATAAAGAAACACTGGAGGTAGAACAATTGAGATTGTTCTTACTTTAATCCACTGAGATTTTGAGGGTTATTTGTTACCATAGCATTGTCTAGATTAAGCTGACCAATACAGACTGACTCTACCATACTTATATGCAATCAGCTTAAGATAAATAGATAAAGGATAGATTAGATAGATAGATAGATTGGTAGATGGATAGATGCCAAAACAATAACAGGAACATAAATTACACACTAGATAAAGAAATAGGGCCAAGAGTAATCCTTTCTGGAAACACACACACACACACACACACACACACACACACACATGCACGCACACCCCTTGGTGTTTAATTCATAATTGGAATCAGACTGTCAGTCAGGAAAGATGAGTGTCTATTCAGTAACTTACACCATGATATTGCACAAGGTTCTTACCCTCTCTGTCAACTTTTCTACAAGGTTGGTTGTACCTGGAAATTTCATCTGGAAAATGAGCATCATATTATGGAATGGCTGTGAAAAATGAATGAGCTGATGTATAGAAAGTGCTTCACAATGTTAGCACATATTGTCATTATTATCATTATCATTATTATTTTAGAGGTAGTGGTGTCATTATTATTTTGACTGCCGACTCACAGGACTATACAAGTTCAGCCAATTTATACAATTAAGATATTAAAAACAAAATAATAGGCTAATAAATTAAGGTCCTTTTATGCACTCTTGATGGCAAATCTTCTTCCTGTTTGAAGACCTGAGTATCTTTTCCTTCCTCTCTGAAAGCCATGTCACAGCCACTGTCCTACCTTCACCCCATCCCCAATTTCTCATTCACAGTAATTTCAGTTAGCATCCACCCTTGCTCCTCCCACTCATGGCAGGTCTATGTTTCCATGCTGAATTCATTTTATCAGACCTTAGCTAACTTATCAACCATCTCTATGGCAACACCCTGGTCCCCTTCCCTCACCTAAGATCTCCACACGGGACAGACAAAGTAAATCTGTTAATTTCTGAATGTGACATAATAAGAAAACATGATAAAAGTTTTGTTAGGAATTCTAGGGGACATAGAGAACGCAAATACCCACCATATGTTTGCTTCGTAACAGAGATGTTAAATACCAGGAAATATGACACAGTGTTTCAGGAGTGAAGTAAACCTTCAAAATCAGTCTAGTCTGATTTTTATTTGTTTTGAGATGAAGAAATTGCAGGTTCAAAGAGAAAATGACTTCCTTAAGGTCATTCAGCTACATGATACCACAACCAAAATGGAAACCTTTAAATGGGAATCATAGGGTATGCAGAGCTCTATACACAGCTGCCTCATTTTATCAAAGTAAGTAAAGAATAGGATTTTATTGCAGAACATTAACTATGTAGATCTTCAGAAAACTACAAAGGGACAAAGTATCAGTTTGATTGACAATGCAAGACTGCTAATGTGCAAGACAATGGCAACAAAGCAAAACGACAACAAAGCAAAACGGCAACAAACCAAAAACGGCAACAAAGCTTTTAGCTGCTTACATGTGAGTTGGAAAAGAAACTAAAAGACGGTGAAGACTACAGGCACAGATGTCCATATATAGAACTTTGCAATTTTATTTTTATTCAAAATCCATCTTCCATGAAAGTGGACAGTAGAGATAAACTGAATGAACTTAACATTGCTTATGTTAGATATTTATGATACATAAGCCCAGTTGCAGAATGTCAAAAGGTGAGATCTAGATTGACAAAATTCTGGCACTTCTTTGCAATTCACCTAATCTTTATTTTCAGGCAAACTTTGGTTAAGTCATAGTTTTAGCATTCATTTTTTAGAGTGTCATTTTGTGATAGAAAAATCCTCTTTGCCCTTTATTTATCTTATTTATTTATTTATTTTTGAGACAGAATTTCGCTCTTGTTGCCTAGGCTGGGGTGCAAATGGTGCTATCTCGGCTCACCACAACCTCTGCCTCCTGGGTTCAAGCGATTCTCCTGCCTCAGCCTCCCATTATCTTTTATTTTAAAAGATAAAATAATATTTTTCATCTCTACAGATACATATGCTATCTCATATTAATTATCTCTAATTTTCCCCATTTTTATAGCGATACACCTACACATTGCTTTCCAAAATATGAAAACAGTAACTCAAGAAGAAAACATAACTCCAAAAATAGGAAATAGGACAGGGAGTAGTAGAGACTTTGGTAAACTGGAGATTGTATTACCCACATGTTGAGACAGGTGATAATTCAGCTCTACATAATTATTTTTACATGGGAATGAGGGCTTTCTCAGATGTTTAGGATATAAGAATCTTTTAAATTTCCCATGAAAATTATCAGTTGTTTATTATTAGTTGAGAAATAAAATGAAATTTAACTCTGTCCATCCTAAAGACCCTGCTATAGGCAGGAGTCAAATAATGGGCTGTCAAAATTCAGAAGCTCTGACTTTACCTCTTTGGAGTAATTTCCCTGTAAGTGAAATTACAACTGGGCTTGGTCTTTAAGATTTAGCCCTAAAATTTTATTTTTATACCAATTCTACTTCACTCTTAGTCACTAATACTGGTAACAAGAAACCACCCATAAGGAAATGTGATCAGTAGGCGATTACAATTGGTGTCCATGATTGCATTACCTCTTTAACAAGGAACCGTTACACAGTTTGTGAATTACACATTGTCTTTGATACTACATAACTCTTCACCACTTAGCAATGAACAATAGATGTAATGATGAAAGTATATCATTGGTACATGGTGCTATTAGTCATGTGAGTATAGGCAGATTACAAATTATGTTTGGAAACTAATCCAGTAAACTCACTTGTCTAAACTGAAGCTTTCATCTTTGAGTCTTGTTGGCAATGTAACTTATTTATTGTACTCCAGTGTTTCTAAAGAAAGATATCATCTTATAAAGCTGCTAGTGAAGTGCTTATGGGCAAAACAATTAGGTTTGTAGTGGGCATGGAAGAAGAACTAATTTTAAGAGAATAGAACTTTTTAGTATATCTTCTTGTCATCATTGTGGAACATGGTGCACTGAAAAGAGTAGTTAATTTTGGAGTGGATAAATTGGAAAACAGAGAAATGTGAAAAATTAGACATCTATGATGTGTTTTTCTATGTTAACTGTAAAGCACTGTGAATTTCTTGAACAGCAGAGATACCCTTATACAAAAACAAACCAGGCTGGGCATGGTGGCTCATGCTTGTAACCCCAGAACTTTGGGAGGCCTAGGCAGATGTATCACCTGAGGTCGGGAGCTTGAGACCAAACTGGCCAACATGGTGAAACCCCGTCTCTATTAAAAATACAAAAATTAGCCAGGCATAGTGGCGTGCGTGTGCAATCCCAGCTACTTGGGAGGCTGAGGCACGAACTGGGAGGTGGAGGTTGCATGAGTCGAGATCTCACCACTGCACTCCGGCCTGGGTAACAGAGCGAGACTCTGTCTCAAAATAATAATAATAATAAAATAAAATAAAAAATAAAAGCAAACAAAAAAGTGACATTGTAAACCATGTTTAACATATTGGTCAATCCTTTTTCCTTGGGGTTTTACTATCTGTTTCTGTTTTGCTGGATGTACTACTAAAATTAGATGTTCTTGATCTCTTAAATGAAATGTATTACATGAATGGCAGGTGAAAATGGTAAATAAACTCTAGTCAGCCCCTAATCTGTATGCCCAGCAAATTCTTTTCTAGAATGTTGTGCAACACAATGTTGTGGCCTTCATAAAAATCTCCTTTTAAAGAAAAGAAGGTAAAATATTTTAAAAAGAATACATTTTCCTTATTGCTATTTGCTGCCCATTTCCAGTCTGTGATATGCTTAAAAGTGCGTATCTGCAATGCTGAATAGCATTATTTTCTGAAACTGCAAGAATAAGATGAAGGAATCATTCACTTACATCAAATAGGGTAAAAGTAATCTTCAATTAGTTTATGTGTAGAGTATCATCTCTGAAGGCTCAGTCTTCATTCTCTCACATTTTTGCATTTTCAAAAAAAAAATGTCTTTCAAATTTATTTTGGGGCAGTAGCTGTTTATTAGAGATCTATTAGTTATATCAGTCACACTGATGTAAATGTCTCTTAAATGTAGCAAAATAGGATTTTCAGCTGGGTTAGAAAATACCAACAACTTGGATTAAAAAAAAAAATGCTTTTTTGATCTGGTTGGTTTTGATAGACTGTCAAAAATATTAATCTTAAAATTTATCGTAAATAGTAGTCATGCAAACCTTTCATTATATATTCTCTCAAATTGATTTTTTTCAAAGAACAAGTTTTCACAAATACACTGGATTCAACAATTTTTGAATTACAGTCAGATTTGAATGGTCTTGTGCAGATCCACTTAACTTGTGAGTAGTAATGACCACTTAACTAGTAAATAATACTATCTCATAAGCAGTAAATAACTTTTATGAAAAATGAAACGATATAATTGCTAAATTAAGTTTCTCACTTTATACTTTTGCTGTATCTAAAGATAATTGGTATTCCTACAGGTTAACATATTGTTGATTCATATATATGGCTACCATATTAAGTGCTAATACTTCATTGTTGCATGTCTCTGTAAAAATAGCTATAATCAAGCTTAGGAATAGTTTTTATTTTAATTCATTTCTTTATGGAGTAAAAATTGTGGATCTGAATAAATAACTCTACCCATTGAATATCCTTGAACAAATAACTTAGCCCATCTAAACCTTAGTTTCCTCATCTATCAAATGGAAAAAGAATATCTTTCTCAGAAGCTTCTTGTGAGAAATAAAATACCATTGTGTATATTGCATAGATGCTAGAAAGTCATAAAATCCATTGTCCTTTCCTAACCCAAAATTGAGCTACATTTCCCAACCTCAGTTCATCTCTATGGGAATATGCAACTAGTTCTCGCCAATGGAACATAAGCAGAAATGACATGTGTCACCTTGAAACCAGACAATTTTCCTTTGATTTCACAGAACTTCTCTATGCCATCTCCCTCCGCCCCTTAAAAACTATCTCCCTGCTAGATAGTGTGAACACAACCTTGGAATTTAAAATCCAAATGTGTGATTTTTAACACAGCATACAAATGTTCCAGAATCACAATGGAAAGAAAATAGGTTATCATTTTTGGTTAACATTTTTGTTTAATGTGTATAATAACATATCACTAAGAACAAAATAGATAGGGGGGAAAACTGCTTCCTCTAAATTAAAAACCTAAACCCCAAGCAGTATGTTTTTGTATTTGTTTTGAAATTTTATTGAAAACTTGATCAAGGAAAAACATTCTAGAAAAATATTCATTTATAAAGAAAGTGGCTCTTAGATTAGGATATTGACAGTGTAACCTTGGTTATATCAGGGATTATGAATAAATACTGAGGACGAGGACTTTAGAGAAGCATCTAATCAAATGTACTCCTTTTATAGATAAGGAACTTTCATCCCAAGGAGGGAAAGTGACTTCCCCATGGCTGCTCTAGGCCCAGCTCTATTTACATAATTCATACACTTTTCTCTCCTGAGACCAAAGCTAACTTTCTAAATTGAAGCTTAAAAATAAAATTAAAATCTATTACTGTGCAATCATCCACTGGTTTATTTTAAGATATTACGCTGCTTCAAGTAGTTTGAAAAATTTAGTATTGACTAAAAATAGGCTCACAACTCACTGAGACTCAGGAGTAACAAGAGACTGTAGGATTGGTGCTGTAGTTGTTTATTTCTCTTTTTTCATTTAGGTTTTATTTTCATTTAGTTTTTGTTGTTGTTGTTGTTGTTGTTGTTGTTTCCCTTCCAACCTCTTCAATTTAAAAAGTACCATTAACTTGTAGCTTTTTAACTTTCCTTTTTTTCTGCCAAAATATATCATCTAAATCGTGAGTCAAGTTTTACGCATGTCTCCTTACCAAGGACATTTAAATTAAAACAGCCTAAAAGGTGGAAGCTATTGTTCTCTATTTCAGGAAGCATTTTATTCATATGTAAACATTGATGTAGACAGAGAAGGTTGGACTTGAACTTGGTATTAAATAATAAAATAAATAGGAGCAGAGACTTTGGGATAGGTGTAACATAGTAAGAAAATCTCAGGGAAGGGAACAGTATGATGGGAGAATGATGCCCAACACGTAAAGATACAGTATATGTATACTTTAGAAATCAGGCAACAAGCATGAACTTCATCCATGGAGCTGATGTTTTGAAATTGTGATCTGCATGTCACTGGTGGAAAGGAAGATAAATTTAGTGGTACACAGATTTTTCATTTTCCTAGTTATATATTCCTTGTGATACAAATCAGGAAAATATAACTAGAACATGGAATCTAAGAAAAAACTGGGATTAAAAACAACAAAAACAGAAAATAATTTACATGGTTATGCCAGAAATAATTATGAAGATGTTTCATGAAACCTTGGTGTTTTGGATGCATTGCTAAAGACAATATGACAGATTTAATGGTATTCTGATTTGGGAGAAATGTGGTATATTTCCTTGTGATTCGTTATGATGGCAGGAGGATCCCACCAATGTAAGTTTCCCGTAAGAAACCCATTTGTCCACTTTTCTAGCCCACATCTCAGGATGACAACAGAGAAGAAAAAAGAGTCAAAAATTATGGATAGAATTTGATGAGCTGGCCGTGGCAACATGACAAAAAGAATAATCTCTTCTAGCTTAGAGAACACAATGAGCAATGGAAAATATATATAATAGCATTCCACATTATGTATTTCATTGATGAATGATATACTGTTGTATCAATGTAATTGTCACAAGTGATTAATACCACCATTATCTATAATCACCTTTAAGTCAGCCACCAGGTTAATAGTCCATTATGACTATTAGTCTGGTGACTGGCTTAGAGATGATTAAAAGAAGGTTTCTGTTGTGAAGCTTATGTAGTGGAGTAAGGGGTCAGGGACTGAGGAGTAAAGCAAGTGCCCAGGCAACACAAGGCAGAAATCATGTTTTCATTTTATATAAATAAATATATATATATATATATATATATATATATATATTATACTTTAAGTTCTAGGGTACATGTGCACAACGTGCAGGTTTGTTACATATGTATACAAGTGTCATGTTGGTGTGCTGCACCCATTAACTCGTCATTTACATTAGGTATATTTCCTAATGCTATCCCTCTCCCCTACCCCCACCCCACAACAGGCCCCAGTGTGTGATGTTCCCCTTCCTGTGTCCAAGTGTTCTCATTGTTCAATTCCCACCTATGAGGGAGAACATGCGGTGTTTGATTTTTTGTCTTTGAGATAGTTTGCTGAGAATGATGGTTTCCAGCTTCATCCATGTCCCTACAAAGGACATAAACTCATCATTTTTTATGGCTGCATAGTATTCCATGGTGTATATGTGCCCAGCCATCCCATTACTGGGTATATACCCAAAGAAATATAAATCATGCTGCTATAAAGACACATGCACATGTATGTTTATTGTGGCACTACTCACAATAGCAAAGACTTGGAACCAACCCAAATGTCCAACAATGATAGACTGGATTAAGAAAATGTGGCACATAGAAATCATGTTTTCTTAAGGTGGGTGAAAATGCTCTTGGAGGAGTTAATGGAATAATAATGATAGTGATAATAACAGTAATATTGTTGCCTTCCATTTGCCAAGTCCTTCCCACTTGTCAGGCAGATTTTTAATGTAGTATGTTTCTTAATCCTTGGAGCAACCCTGTTGATACTGGTGATATTGGGCTCGGATATATTAAATGATTTATATAAAGTCACACCACTAGTAAATGGCAAAGCTGGTGTTAAAACCTGAGCTGTCTGACTCCCGTGGTGAACATTCTTAAAAATCGCTTCAAGTTGTTTTGGTATTAAGATCAGCAAAGGCACTGTTGAAGAGATGCCACTGATTTAAGCCTTAAAGTCATAGAGATGAGATGGTAGTGATGCATTAAGAAGTCATTCAAAACAGAAAGAGATTGAGATTCAATGTGAGTGTAAGACTGGTTAGTTAAACACAGAAACATATTAATAGTTCGGTTCTTTCACAAGCTGGGAAATTGTAGAAAACAAGACTGGAAAGTTCCTGAGACCAGATTCTTATATACTAGAAACAATAGCTTGTGCTCAATTGAACCTACTGAATTATTGAGACATGATGAAGGGATATATCAGCTCACTGGGCCATGATGGGAGTCAAATAGTGTTGTGATTAAGAGTATGAATGTCAGAGCAGACCACTTGAGTTTCTGTCCCAGTGCTTGCCCTTGATTTCTGCAGGAAAATGAACCCCTCAAAGTCTCAATTTTCTCATCTGCAGTGATACCATCTGTGTTAATAGTAAATGTTAACTATGGTTATGAGAAAGCAGATCATTTACACATAGTGCTTGCTATGGTGCATGTAGTTAGTGCTTAGTAAGTGCTAGCTTTTATAATTAAGGTGAAAGGCATAGACTGGAGATGAGAGAGAAATTGACAGCAGGCACATAACTTAATAAGCTACTGACACATTCCAGATGAGAACAGACAAAATCATGAACTAGGACAGTGGCAATGGCAACTGAAAAGAGGACAGTTACACAAGATATTTCAGAAGCATAAGTGCCTTCATGATTCATTAGATGTGGGAGGCAGAGACATGACTCTGAGTGTTCACGCCTGGCTCACTGGGGCAATGGTTGTTCTTCTACCAGATATAGAACAATCAGGAAGGAATTATAGTTTGAAGAAGAAATCATGGATCCAGAATCTGTTCTAGCATATTGACAATGAATTAAAAATATTCTTCAAATCTTATCGACCCACCACAGGGGAAATATTTTTCTCAGCTGTAGTACAAATAAAGTAGTAATAAAGGAGATGATTCAGGTGGTGGATGCAAGGACTCTCACATAGCATTAAATTTCCTGGTGAGCAAATTCTCTCATATGAAATGCTTCTATTCTTCTGTTTATATCAAAGAGAATGTCTGGATTTGGTACTAATTGCTCTTTACTCAAGCTCTAATATCCTTTTCTCTCTCTCTCTTTTTCAACATATTCAAAGTCTAGGGAACACAAATATATGCACTTAAAGTGTAAGAGTATTCACTTGTTTTTTAATCATATTTTTATATCACTTGTATTTTTGTTAAATGTCCTGGTTTTCCAATTATGGTCCTTATATTAACTTTCCTTTAAAAAATTAACTTCATTAAAAAACCATGTATCAAGGAATACTATGCAGCCACACAAAATGAGAACATGTTCTTTGCAAGAACATGGATGGAGTTGGAAGCCACTACCCCTATCAAGCTGATACAGGACAAGAAAACCAAATACTGCATGTTCTCACTTGTAAGTGGGGGCTAAATGATGATAATACATGGACATATAGAAGGGAACAACAGACACTGAGGTCTTTGGGAAGGCAGAGGTTGGGAGGAAGGAGAGGATCAGGAAAAATAACTAAGAGGTACTTGGCTCAATACCTGGGTGACAAAATAATCCATACAACAACCCCCCACCCAAGACACAAGTTTGCCTGTATAACAAACCTGTACATGTACCCCCTAACTTAAAAGTTAAAACAAAATAATAAAATTCATTACGCATTCAAGAAAAAAACCCACATGAATCAATTTAAAGAAAAAAATTAGGAATCAGAAGTACAGTCACTACTTGGATATAACAAAGCTTGAATGAATAAAGGTTGGAAAATCCTTCACTAAGCTATGTGGCAATTTGGCAATATTCTCCCCCAGTTACAAAAGAGGCATCTTAAAGGGAGATACATTTACCACAAGTCTAAAAGAAAGTCACATTATAATTGGCTAAGATTGATCTCCTGATAATTTCCCAAGAAACTTGTAAACATAACTTCCTTGTAGACATTCATTAGTTACACAGCTATGCTTTGAAGATAAGAATAGCATCAAAAATCAAGCAAATATCGAGCAAAAACTTCCAATCATTAAAAAAATCAGCTGTCACAGAAATCAGCCTGCCTTTCGTTATCAACACTAATGTTCAATTCAGCCCTTTCTCGTCACCGAGCCCGTTGAAATAGTACTACACACAAAATACAAACCAGCAGGGTGAGGAGTGGGAGAGAAGGCCAACTGTGAAGGCTATTCACAATATTAGGATGCACAAAGGAGTTGATGAGATCAGTTACATGATGGTACTCAGTGTGAAATGTAGTATCTTTTCAATACTGTTTTGCTGTGATTTCCTTAGGAAGATTAATAGCCTTGTGAGACCTTGTTAATTATTTTTGCTATGCTTAAAGTAAGTAGATAATTTTCTCCCACAAGTGTCTCCTAATAGATAGTAAATTCCCTAGATCATCCTCCACACGAGACATTGGGGAGGTGGTAATGTTGGGCTCTGTGATGTAAAATCAACCCTTCTGTCTCCACCATTAGTTCTTCATACCACTCTTGGGCTCAAAACAACTAAACAAGAAATCTTCTAGTCACGAGTTTGTGGGTTCTGTTTTAGAGTGCTGGAATAATTATAGAAATATGAATATACAACAGAACTTAATGCCCAATTTCTCATTCTGGAAGCATGAAGAACTGGAGATTAATTTTACGTGGTGTGTGTGTGTGTGTGTGTGTGTGTGTGTATGTGTTTTCTTTCGCCAATGGAAGACTTCAGTTCTAAGGCAATCCTGAACTTTTCCTTTTTGAACCAGATGAAAGATTGTTCTAGGCCGGGCGCGGTGGCTCTTGCCTGTAATCCCAGCAGTTTGAGAGGCTGAGGCAGGCGGATCACAAGGTCAGGAGATCGAGACCATCCTGGCTAACAAGGTGAAACCACGTCTCTACTAAAAAATACAAAAAATTAGCCAGGCGTGGTGGTGGGCGCCTGTAGTCCCAGCTACTGGGGAGGCTGAGGCAGGAGAATGGCATGAACTCGGGAGGCAGAGCTTGCAGTGAGCAGAGATCTCGCCACTGCACTCCAGCCTGGGAGACAGAGCGAGACTCCTTCTCAAAAAAAAAAAAAAAGATTGTTCTACTAATACTTGATGGTCAGGTTTCTTGCAAATAATGGAACAGAAGGCCATTTTAAAATAATATACTCAAGCATTACTATGACCTTCTTTCAGATTCTTTTTTCCAAATAAAAGAACCTTTAGGAGACAGTTGCAAATGCTCAAAACAATGTTACAGCCAGATAATTCTTTGATTTGAAGGATGGTACTTTTGAAAGTAGAATCGAATCATAAATTTCCATCTTTGTGTAGGTCCTTTATTTGCTTCTCTCTGTAAAGTAGATGAAGGCCTGATTCCAAATTATTCCATACGCAAAAAATATTTCCTATGAATTCTAGAAAATAATCAGGTGTTTGTGACTAAATCAACAGCAAACACCTCAACTCTTGGAAATATGCTTCAAATGACATCTTAATAGATGGTAAGCTGAGAACACAATGTTTGTATTTGAAATTCGAACATATGTAAATTAACATAATTTTAAAAAGAGTAGTTGGATTAATCTACATAGAGGATATAAGCAACATTGCTGAGAGTTCAAACTGGCCACCCATGAGACAGAAACATATCTGGTCTGGAAACATATCTAACTTGCCCGACAGAGGGTTTTAAATCAACAATTGATAACTATTACAAATCATGAGATTTAATATAAAAATATTTACTTTTAGCTTGTCTTAAATCTCAATTCCTGACCATATTATCATGCACATCTGATAATCATAATTAATATTAGTAAGAGCTACTAATGACCAAGTGCTCACTATGTGCCAGCTATCATTCTAAGCATTTCATTTCATTTATATTTTGCATACACACTGTCTTCCTGTGATGCAATTTTTTTTAATGCACATTAGGTATCTGGAAAAGCTGATCTCAGAGATTCAATACATTTGCCCAATGTCTATAGCTTATAACTGATGCAATTGGAATTTGAACCCAATCCTGTCTGATACTCAAGGCTTGTTCTATTATCCACTGATGGATAAGATTAAAATATTAAACTACTGAATGGAGAATGGGTCCATATCCACTATGCTTACTTTTCTGCATTTGTAAAAAATTCACTCTTCCTGTGTGAAATGTGGCGATTTCACTACATTATGAAACATACTTTCTAAAACAGGTACATCTAATAAATATTTTATTTTTTCATAATTATATTCATTTTTCCTTAAATAAATTAGGGAATAATTTACTAATCCAATTTGAATCCAATTTTCCCATATTGGTAGAATATATTTATATTTATCTATTCTACTTGAATTTCAATTATAATTTTCTCTAGAAAGTTAAAACACTTCATTTAATTTTCTGATTATCATTCATTGAGAGGTATTGAAAAATCTTCTAATTCATATATACCAAAATTTCAACTCTGGAAGGGTCACTTGAAATTCTTTGCCAGTGCATCTTACCGGAAGTTGTCTTCACTACTTCGGTGGTATTTCTTAGACCAACAAATGAGAATTGATAAAGCCTCCAGGATCTTGTGTCGCCCACTTCAACAGAACTTCGCTTCCATTGATAAACAATTTCTTCACGTGGATAGCCATCTGCCGTGAGATAGGAAAGCTCACATTAAAAATGATTATAAATTAGCATATGTAGCAACCATCTTCTATGAACATGACACTGAGGTAAAGACTGAGAAAGATAGTTACAAGCTAAATGAGGATCTTGGACCAAAGGGCATTGCAATGAGAACATAAATTGCAATGACTTTGCATCCTAATGGGAAGTTAGATTCAAAAATCCAAAGGTCAAATTTACTCTTGAAAATAATTTAAATGACATAGAAGGTATACTACATGTGATTTTATATATGCCATATGCATACTTTACATCATCTGGAATAGTGCATACCAAGTGACCAGTCTATAATAAATAGTAGAAATACAAAGTCTTGTATCACAGTGAAAGGCAGTTAACAGAGCAAGATTTTGAGTCACATAGAAACAGAAAATAATAAGACAGTACAGACTCAAAACTTCTCCAAAGAATGCATTTGAAGTGGAAGATAGTTGGAAAACGTAACCTAAATTATTTATTATCTTTCTTTCTCAATTTGTTGGGACTCCATTTTAATATACACAGAAATACACAATTCAAAGCAGTAGTAAGTAGAAATGCTAAGAGGAAGATATCAATGAGCTTGTACTAATAGAACAGAGAGTATTCATTGAAGACATCACACTGGGGAGGTGAGATAAAGTAGTGGTTATGAGTACCATTTCCCAGCCATTCTACCCTGGACAAGTGTATATTTTTCCTCCTAAATTGTTTGTCCTCTTATAGGGAGGATAATAGTACTTATCTCACAGAATTGATGGTCAATGTATATTTGTTGAATGGATAAACATTATTATGAAGTCAACTGCAGAATTAACTTTTTCAAGAAAATAAATAAAAATCAGAAATCATTTTAACAGTTTGTCTACTAATAATACTAATTATTATGTGATAATAAATAATAATGCCATGTAAAGATTAGTTTGATTATGAACACTGATTGAGTACTTGGAATAAAATCCCACATAGTTCCCCCTTTCTGTTCCTTTTGATGCAGCTTTATCTATTATATGTTTATATTAATTAAAGAGGGAGGAAAAAAAAGAGAGAGTCCCTAGAAGGGATGGAGGGGATGGAGAGAGATATGATAGTATGTGATGAAAATTGAGGAAAACAGTGATAATATCCAGCTTGGGCAACATGGCGACGCCCCATCTCTACAAAAAATACAGAAATTAGCTGGGTATGGTGGTGCGTGCCTGAAATCCCAGCTACTCTGGAGGCCAAGGTGGGAGGATCAGTTGAGCCCCAGAAGCGAAGGCTGTAGTGAGCCGAGATCACACCACTGCACATTCCAGCCTGGGCAATAGAACGAGACCCTGTCCAAAACAAAACAAAACAAAACAACAACAACAACAACAAAAATGATGATATGAGGCAGAGAATGTGCTGGTGACTGAATTATTCTGATAGCAATGAGTAATATTAAATTGTGTTTGGGTTCAGAGGATCATTTTCAACTGGCCACCTGATGGCAGAGAAATCAACAGTTCTTGAATTTTAGCTGACGCAAGAAAGAAGTAGTCCCAATTGGAGTATTAAAAGAAAGGAAGGCTTATCTCTCTAAAGCACAGGGAAGCTTTAACTTTATAATTAAATATATTTCATTCTTGGATTCAGGAAAACATGAAATAAGTTTTATAATGAGAATTTTTCTAGGTAAATATGATGTCCAGTGATATTTTTCCTCTGGTTTCCTCTGGTATTGATGAAGTGATAAACAGGTGATTACTTCTCTGATCATCAACGTTTTTCAAACTGTGATTACTATGACTTGGTGGACTCCCTGGTTGAGAAATTACATTTCTACAAACATACTTTTAAAATCTATAATCAGATTTTTATTCTGTCCAATATGTACAACTGGCAGACAAAAAATGTAAAAGAAGCAATTGACCTTTCATGGATGCTGAACAAATAGTAAGGAAAATGTTTTGGGAAATTTAGGTTTGCTTGGCTTTGATTCAGGCAGGAAATATTTGTAAAGGTTACTAAAGCATAATCTGTGTTAGATCATCATGGATCCTCTTGCTACATTCTATTATCTATCTGATAAAAATAATAAATGTAAAAATAATGGTTTTATATTTGATCTTATGTGTGTCAAGTAGTAGTTCACATATATTTTATCAATGAAATAATTGTCCTGTGGGGCAGGCCTTAACTAGCAATGTGCTGCTATAGTCCCTTCCTAGGCCCATAGGAGAGAAAGGAAGAGGATATATAATTAAAGATTGCACCTTTTCTATTGAGTCCAGGGTTGGCTTTACAATCCCTTACAAAAAAAAAAAAGGCTCTATGCAACCAATATATTAAAAGTTTGCAACTCAAGGAAACCTATTGTAATTCTTAATAAAATCAGCCCTTCTTTTGCAGGAATCACCCTAATCGGAGCAAGCTGGGATTAAGATGAAAGAGATGGTCAAAATCATCGAAGTCAGTAACATAACTTAATACAACTTTGAAATTTGTTATGCTTCTTTCAATTAATTAACATGGCAATCAGAAAGACTGTAGGTGAGGGAGGATACAAATGGAGAAGGAATATTACTTACAACTGGAGAACTCCAAGGGGCAGGAGTGTTCATCCATTGGAAAGTTGTGCAATTGTAATTGGCACTCAGCATCAATTGTCAACCTAAGTAGAAAGATATTAAACATAAGATGGATTTTAGACATAATTTTAAATTGTAAATTTGCACAATTTTAAATGATTGTTTTTCTAGAGAATATCTCACATTCTGATTGAAAACACAGAGTGATCCCCAATGAAGAAATCCACCAAGTCCAGGAAAAAATTACATAAGACTTAATGTAGTCTGTTCATTTTCACAGACCAAATAATAGCACCTCACTTACCTCAACTATATTTATTGAAAATTTATGATCACTTAAGTTTTTGGTTTTGGTTTTTCTCTTTGCAAATTAATTGCTCAAGTGAAACCGCTCAGTGAATATATTTAACAGAGCCAACTGTTTTAAGAACTTAAGCTCGTTTACTGTTTGCTTGTAAATGAATGTTGATAATTCTAAGATCTTAACTGCTAATTAAAGCAGGACCTTCTGTTTGTAAGAACTTGTTAGCTGTTAGCTTTAATTGCTAAAGGTGAGTGTACAAATACCTGTGTTGCACAATGGTGTGGCATTAATTCTACACTACACTGTCACTAGGATCTTCCAGAAGATGTCATTAAATAGGATATTATAGAGTAGAAGAATATCTAATGGAAAACAAGAAATGTTAAAAGCACATACACAGACATATTTGAAAAATGTTTGCCAGTAAATCTTAATTAGTTTATGCCTTATTAGTTAGTTCTTATTAAAGTATACAGATTTTCTCAGTCTCAAGTCCTGGGCTGGAACTCCAGGAGGGAGAAGATTTGAAAGTCAAATGTCTTGACCACCTTTGGGTAAATATGAATATAATCTCAAATTGTAATGGTAATGGGTTGATGATTTTTAAAATTTCATATTTTTAGCTATATCTCTTACATTGTACAGATATTATTGATGTAAGGAAAGTATTATTTTAGGAAAATTTATTTTTAAGAGATTTTCTAATTAGTATAATTTTTAATTGAACAGAATTAAGAATCTATCATTCTATGATATAACGGAGCAATTACTGATGTTAAAATATATCTAATAATTATTGAGACCTTAATTAACTATGAAGCACTGGGTAGAGTGAATTGCTTCCTCATTTAATAAGTATTATTATGCATTTATTGTACCTGAACTTGTCCAAAGTCACATAACAAGAGGCACAGTTGAAATTTGGACCCAAGATTATCTACCTTCAAAGCTGGAGGTTTTAATCATTGTTACTATATATTTATATGCTCTTCAAAGGGAAGAATAGTTTTATTCATAAAGGAAGCTACAATTAAACTTGATATTTTATTAGTATTATTACTCCAAATTAAACTGGAATTATTAAAATTGAAAATAATATAATTGCAGATACAAACATAGATACAGATCTAAATGTCTTTGGGCATGCACAAAAACACACAAACACACTCATAGCTCATTTTAGATAGCCAGAACAAAATCATCTCTCTATGTAGACTGGTAACCATTCAAGCTTTGATTGAATCTCCATTAGTGACACTTTTGAGGTGGCTTTCATAACTAACTAATGTAATGATTCCATAAATTAAGTCCCAAAATGACTACAATGTTATAAGAACAATAAAGACACTTGAGATAGTATGATTGGCTTCATATTTCAAAAGCTGGACTGAGCTCTGATGTATCAGGCGAATTTTGTACCCACTAGATTCTACATTCAGGCATTGGCCAGATGCCATGGCTGTCGCCTATAATCCCCAGACTTTGGGAGGCTGAGTTGAGGACCGCTTGAACCTAGGAGTTCAAGACCACATGGGCAACATAGTAAGACTATCTCTACAAAAAAATACAAAAAAATTCTTAGCAGGGTGTAGTGGCACGTGCCTGTGGTCCCAGCTACTTGGGAGGCTGAGGTGGGAACATCACTTGAACCTCTGGGAGGTAGAGATTGCAGTGAGCCCAGATCATGCCACTGCACTCCAGCGGGTGACACAGTGAGACCCTGTCTCAAAATAAATAAATAAATAAATAAAAATAAACTCAGTCATTACTATATCTCTAAGTTTACAAAAGCCATGATAAATATAAAATGCCTGGAATGAATTTATTTTGGAATTGTGGCTTTTTCTAATAACTGATATAATTAATAAAGATTTTGGAGCCTATTCAAGTATTATATTTTGTATGTTGAGCAAGCACATTTAACATGAATCATTTGATATGAAGATTTAGAATTGCATTATTCTTATTTTGATTGAAAATGTATAAATAATTTTAATATTTTCTATATTTACTATATATCAGGCTCTATGTTAATCACTTTACTTATCACCCTATTTTGTCCTTATAGCAACTCCGTAAGGTCAGAAGAACTATATCTGTTTTATAGAAATTAAAGAAATGAAAGGTAAAAGAGTTTGCTCAGTTGTGATGTCAAGGTCGGGGGAGAGGCAGTACAGGGTGGGACAGCATGGTTGTGCTTTCTTTCCCAATAATTTCCATCAGTTCTCACTTAATTTTTCTAAATAAAAACATAACCATGTAAAAACATCATGCTTACTATGCAAACAAAGCTTCTAACACTAAAAGTCCTGCTACCAGATAGCTGCCCCTAAGTCCCTTTATATAGAAATGCTGGAGCGTTGCCCTAGTTCCTACAGATAGTAAGAGAGAGAGCTAAGAACCAAAGTCGGATGTCTGATTCGTAAGACTATGTACTTATCTATTATTCTGTCTAATAATGTATTCCCACCAATGAGAAAATTCAATGTAAAAATGTTTTAAATGCAAAGTATGAAGTGCTAAGGTAATGGCATAAAATAATTATTTTATTAAGGTAGCATTTTACTCTAATTTCACAATTTAATTTCAGAATTTAATTTCAGAGGCTGAACCATAGCTCCTTCAACTTTCTCCCATGTCTATTCCCAAGATAGACAACAAATTAATTTAAATAGCCTATTAACATAATGGGAAGTGGGGTGCCAGGAGATGAAAGATAATAGATTCTAGGTGCCTGCTATTGTGAAGCTAAAAAGAGAAGGATGTATGGAGACATACACCTCAAAAATTCTCTTTTAGCAACTATTTCCTTGGAAATGAAGATATTGCCAAGCATAAGAGTGCAAAGCGTAGGTGCAAAGGTCAGATGATCTTGCAAGACAAAGGAAATTTCAGGTCAGTTGTGACAAAAAATAGTTTTCACAGCAGTTGTGGAAAATAAGCTTTGCCTATAATTAGTGCTTTGAAAAAGCTCATTGATAACAAAAAGAAAAAACTAATGTTTTGATGTCATATACTAATTGATAGCATGCCAACCCTGATGCAGTCTTGAAATTTATTTCCTTTTTTTTTTTTCTTTTAGAGACTTAAGGTTGATTTTTGTGTTTGTTTGTTTTCTTCCTAACAATTACTCCTTTCCTTTTGCAAAAGAATACCTTAGGGTGTAGAGCACTCGACCATCATTCCAAATTCTCAGCATCCTGTTGGGGGTGGTGATCCAGTGTGCATCAGCTTTTTTGGAATTTCTGAAGAAAGTGTCTGGAATCCAGATTTTCCCCACCATGTTGCTGTTCAATCGGAGGACTTTAATGGTGCTGTTAAATTTCAAACGTCTGTCATACCACGTTTGCGCAAAAAATATATCAATAGTGTATTCCTGTTTTAATAAAATGATAAACAGAAAATTTGTACACAGTAAGATTATCTTTTTAAATATTGGTATATTTCATTCCTGTTTTCTTTGCCAATATGAAGCAAAGCTATCTTGGCTTTGAATAGTTCAAAAGAAAGCTAGAGTTTTGCTGAGGAGGTTACTGTCTCACCCATCTTTTGTAGCTATGTTTGATACTTTTATGAAAAAGTAGATCTGTCTAAGTGAGTTCTGGCAAAAGAGGATAGCCTTGATACAATCCTTTACTTTCCATGTCTATAGAGCAGAGCATTGTGTTGTTTTGAGCCAGCTAGTTTCTTGCCATGAGGGCTGTCCCGGGCATTGTGGGATGTTTAGAACCATCCCTGGCCTCTACTCATTAGATGACAGTAGCAAACCCCAAACCCATACTCAATCCTGCCAAGTAATGACAACTAAAATTGCCTCCAGACACAGTCAAACATCCCCTGAGAGGGAAAAAGAAGTTCAGATTCAGAACCACCACTGTAGAGTGAAACAAAGTACAGAATATGCAAAAAAGTCATAAGCAGGAGATCTGGAAAGTCAGTTGGCCTATATTAAAATAGGGATCATGAAGAATCTAACTGGGTAGGCCGTGTTAGGATAGAAAAGGGCAATCAACAAAAGGTGCTTTGCATCATGCCTGGCAGAGAACAAACCCCCAAGAAGAGGGTTTTTTTCACTATTTACTTACACTATTTACTTGTTCTTTTCTCTAAACAAGATGAAATTAACAATTAAAAATAATTTATAATACTCTGTTAATCTCTATCATAAAATGCATTCTTAAATGCTATAGTGACAAATTACTGTAATTATTTCCATCAAGTATACATATCACTAAACTGGAGAGCGGTTGACTTCAGTAAAAAAAAAAAAGCAGATATGGTGTGAAATTCAGACCATTAGGCCTGAGTCTTTTGCCTCAATCACATTGTTCTGTTTTCTTTCCTTGCACCACCTCCCACTGGGTGTCACTGTGATTAGCTACATTTCTACCCTGTAAGTCATTCCACCCTTGTTCATCATTTAGTTTCATTTTTACAGTCTACAAGTAATGAGAAAAGAACCTGTTTTACGAAATCCTTTGTCAACCAATTAGTGATGTGCCAGTAGAAATAAAAATTAATTAATTTATATTCTACATTTTGGCAAGAAAAGCCATGAATAAAAAACTTTGATTCTTAAAACTATTATTTCACAAACTTTGATCCTAGAACAGTTCTGGGGACTGTTATTCCTAAAACAAGAAAGTTCTGCATTTAAATAAACTATCTATATAGCCTCTACTTCTTAGATATTTAGAATTTATTTCAGAACTCTAAATATTCTGAGAATTATGGTTATAAAGAAGTTAGAATTTGTTTAATGACTAAACAAGCAAACTTATTAGCTTGGAGTATGCAGGTGATGATATATCACCTCGATTGGCACATCAATCTCTCACTTAGCAGAGCATCTTTATTGCTAGCTTGGTAAACATGATTTTAAACTTATAGTTTTACTATATCATATATAATATTGTATAATATAGAATACTATATTACCTTATGTTATGTTGTACTCCATTCTGCTCTACTCTATTTTACATTCTCTATTATATCATATTTTGGACTCCAGTCTAGTTTTGTATTTCACATTTGGGTAGAAAGTGTTACATAAGAACAGAATTACATTTATTATTACATCTGACACACTATTTTATCTGAGAAACATTTCTGATTTGAACCAAACTATCAATGTTCTAATAAGTAGTTGAGTACTATATCCTATTTTGTAGTAAGTAGCACTTGGCAAGTAAACACCGATTGTTGAATTTCAACAGCATAGCATATTTACACAAATTAATTATATATATGGTCCCATTTAATTCTCATAAAAATACTTAACATTTAATTATCTTCATATTACAAGAAAAAAAGGATCTGGAAGACTATCTTTCACTTCTAAAGTTTTAAACTTAAATTTTTTGCTGGCATGTCTTTTGCTATTTCCATGACATCACATTTTCTCTCAAACATGCTAATAAAACAGACAAAGAATTTTATTTGGAAACTCACCATATTGATAGCGTTCACTGGACCAATGCTATTCACATACATGTCTGTGTGAATTAACGTTGGCTTCACTGTAAAGAGAAACATAGAAATGTGTGCACATAGAGAGGTGCAAGATTTTAATGTTTTAATCTTTGTTTTCTAGAATAGATTTATTTAGCTACATTAGAAGTAATTTATTCACAACTAATTTGGTACCAGTTACTAATTCACCACATTTGAATAACTATTTTGTTTTCAAAGAAATATCTTTCTTAAGTATGCACATGCACCAAGCACGCATAGTAGAGTTTTGAAACCAATTATCCTTTTAAAACTAACATAAAAATGAATAAATTAGAAAATGCTGCTCTTAGCTTTTCTCCATCTTTCTCTCAGATATCTTGAATTTTACCATGTTTCCTTCAAGCTCTGAAATTGACTTGAGCATGTCCCTGACTGGACCCATATAGAAAAATAATTGCTTAATAACTCAGAAAAAAATATGCATTCAGAACATGAAGTGGACATAAACAGCAAACTGGTAATATAAATTGGTTTTGGATCACAGTTCCCTGTTGATTCCTTTAATGACCACATTATCCTCACACTCCTCTCACCAACACAAAATTAATCTTCCCTGATGATTTATTGTACCCTGTGATACCACAGATAATATGAGAAAACCATATGGAAACCCATTATGTACCTATTTTTCAGAGAAGACTGATATTAAAAATCTGTAGTATAATATCCATGACCAAATGCATGGTCTCCATCTTTATTTAACTCTTAATGAACAACAAGAGCATTAGTCTTTTCTTTATTTTTTTCCTTGAAAGTGTCATGTCCTAACTCACTGTGGTGGACTGAATTCTCTATAACCGGCATTCACATCCTTGCCTTCTCCTGGATAAGGCTATTCCTCTGCCTCTCGACTTTGGGCTGGATCATCTGATTGGCTTCGGCTAATAATATATATACAAAAGCGAGTGTGCCAGTGCTAGGCCTAAGCATTCAGCCTCATGAGCTTCTACTTACTCTCTGGCTGTTTTCTACCACTGTGAGAAGGGTTGTCCTAGCTACCTGCTGGTCCCAAGAGTAGAACGAGGAACACGTAAAGTACAGTTGCCCTAAATAAGCAGCTCCAGCTTGCTTTAGCATAGATTAGTATATCTCTGAGGGGAGTATTATATACATGTTTACTGTCATATGTCATTGAGATTTTCTGGTTGTTTGTTACACAAAAACAGGCAAACAATATATCCTCTCTTTACTGTTATTGTCTTGTTTGATTTGTTTATGTTGCTTCATAAAGGGGTCATTGTTTTTTTTTTCCTACAGCTTCTATCTGAGATATCTAGCAATATGTGAATTTCTAACTCTAGCTCTCAAGCTTCACTTGAAAATAATATTTCTTCATTTTGAATGTATTGACACCTCTCCCACTCATAGGCCTGAATGCTATTTAAACACTACTTTTACAACATATAAAAAAGTATAATTTAAATCTTCCTTGCTCTTGAACTACACTGATGTTTTATCTATTAAAGTAGACATGTTTATGTGCTCCTATCTATAGCACAACGCAAAAGACTTTAACAAACCTCCTATATCAGGCCGAAGTTTATTGTCATATCCTTCCAGCAGGTTGTTTAAGATGACAGTGACATCACCCTCAGGAACTTTTGGAGTCAAGACCCATGTTTTGTTAGAAGCATAATCTTCATAGTCATCATCAGATTTCTGGCTAGTGAAGCTAAGAAAAAACATATTGGTCAAAAAACACATAGATTACACACAAGTTGACTTTTATCCACAGACCACCAGTGGAAAAGAAGAAATAAAACAGGATAAAAGAAATGTTTAAACTGAAAATTCTCCCTTGAGGGTTGTGCTAATTAAACTGCATAGATGGAGACTAACTGTATTCAAGTGTACGCTTCAGGTTTTCAGAATTCTTTGCCCTCCCATGGACAAATAAACCATGTTTTGCCAGTTATTTTTACTTTTCCCATATTTGATGTTCTTTCTGCCTACTTCCCAGTCTCCTGAAGGAATTATAAGAAAACTATTTGTGTGAAAATGGAGGTTAAAGGATCATATGTAGTCTAAGAATTCAGGTATAATGTCTGCTCTTTCCTTCTTTGAGGAGTTCACTTGCCCCAACTTATTAATGAAAGTAAGAGACTGATAATTAGATTCCCTCCCACAAACTGCCAGACATGCCTCTCCCCGCTAACTTGAACACTAAGGAGAGAGCTCAATCTCTTTGCTTTTGCTTCCCCCAGGGTGTGTTTATGTGTATTTTTTCCCCTCACTTGCACTGAAGGCAAAGGTGGATCATTTATCTTTGGTTGTTAAGAACCTGGTACTATGAAGAAAAATGTTACAGACTTTAAACCACCCTTTATCATGGCAAATGCAATAGTTAATGTGCTATAATCATAGAAATGAAATGACTTGTTATAACTGATCAAAAAGCCACATAATATTCTTTCATTATATTCACTATGCCCAAACCTATCAGAAACCCTTTCAGCAATTGGGCTGGAAGCCACCTGAGAATGACTCTGGAAGGGGACTGGAATTCCTATAGCTTACCTCTCCCCCTAACCCAAGTCCCAAGGCAACCCCGCCAAGATGATGATATTTTCCAGATCCAGGGGCAACACACACACCCGTGCAAAAGCTGCCATTTCCATTTTTATCAACACTGAATGAATATTGGTTACTTTTGTAGTTTAGAGTAAAATTTTTTAAAAATGCAAACTTAAAATATAACATTTCCCACCCCTGCCCCCATCTTTACCTTATTTTTCTAAACATATAGTATAGAATGAATTTTGTCAGCTATGACATAATTGCCACACTTACCTTGAATAAATAAATGTATATATTCATATATTCTCAAGCCAGATTTATCACCTTTCTTCATTCATACTCGGTCATCAAGTATATATACATGTACAATGTAGTTAAATATACATACCTGTGTGTGTATGTATGTGTGTACACATGAATGCACATATGTTTTATGTACATCATATATATAGATCTTGATGACTAAATATTGCAGAAGATGATTATGTAATTAATCTGGTTTGAGAATAAGGATAGAGGATGAAGTCTTAAGAGTAATTATTGTCATGGGTCAACTTAATGATTACAGTAACCTCTTTTTTCATTCCTTTAAAGCTGTATGACTAGGAAACATCACAAAAATACATCTGCAAAAGGCCTAACATACCCAGTGTCTTACATCTTGCACTTTAGTGAGCATAGGAAGTTTAAAGGAGCATTAATTTCACAGAGTGCCCATAGTGGGTATAATGGGCTGGGCAATGGTTCTGTCAGCTCTCAGAGAGAAAAGCCTCCACGCAAGCAGAGGCCAGTGTGCTGCCAGAAAAAAAATCCCTCTTGGGCTTCAATTCATCATTTCTCCAGAGCACTGCTAAACTCTGCCTAATAGAGCTTTAATCCTCTGACCCAAATCTTACTGGTTTAGGGAAAGAAAATAAAAAAGCTCTCTGGTAAAGTAATTTTCAAATCCCTCCAATAACTCATGAGAAAAGGATATGGTAGGTTCGTCAGATGCCATAATAGAATATATTACGGTTTAAATTGTTCTTGCAAAAGTGCCTTTTCAAAAAATCTCTCTCTCTCTCTTTCTCTTTCTCTCTCAAGACACATGCACCCTATTAAATTTTCTTCAAGAAAAGGGAATATGTACTAAATTGCTTAGTTTGTTTGTTTATGGCACCTCCTTATGCCAACAAATAAATGAGTCAAGTATAATGGTGCTGTATTACCGTTATTACTATTATCTGGCAGACCAGGAGGGAAAATACATAAAGTGAAAAGATAAGGGATACTTTTTTAGAAGTAAGACTAATTTCCAGAATTGCTCCAACAATTCCCTCAGAGTCATCACCTAGTTTTTTTTTCACACTTCAGGAGTCTACTTAGCCATCCAGAGGTAAAATAGAGTACTTAAGAGTACCTGTTTGGGAATCAGGAAATGCTAGTTCTGCTTTCTGGATTTGTGGCTTGCCTGGAACTTACTGTTAACAACTTTGGGGAAGTTATTTAACCCTGATAAGTCTCAAAGTTTTCATCTTATAATAGGCTTAATATTAGTTCTCATATTACATTCCCGTGTAAGGTTAAGACAATGCTTAAGTGCTTAGCACAGTGCCTAACACGCAGTACTGAAAATAAGTCCATGACAATTATTATATTATTAATTAATCAATAGCAAAATTCCTTAATAATGGAACAAATATTATTATAAATATTATATTAATCATTTTATAAAGTGACCACTGATAGATTTATAACACCAGCTTCAAACATGTAACAAAAACCTACATCTATGTATGCTGCTTCAAGACTTTTAATGCAATATGGGCTGAGGAGAACTAAAAACAAATGTTTTTCAGGAAGAAAAATAATGGCCATCTACATTATAAATAAATGAACTTTTTCTTCTCCTAAGCTTTTCTAGCTGAGGTCTAAATTAAAGGAGCTGATGCATAACCTGGGACTGTTTCCAGATTTGTCTTTAAAAAAAGGAACTTCTTTTATTAAAGCTACGCTGTTTCTTTCTCTAGAGTGCTTTGGACATAAAAACCTCTGCATTCACAGATAGGCTATCTAGGAATAATGAAGTCTTACCATTAGATGAAACATTCTATGGAACTGTAGACTCCATAAGAATGTCTGGGCAGAAACAGATTGATAATGATTTGAAGAATTCACTCAACAGTTGAGTGGATAGAGAGCAAACATATTTGAACTTCTGGCTAAAGGTACCTATCTACATGGAATGGCCTTTAGAAGTTATTACTCCTCCTGGTACCATATAATTAAAAATACTTTCTTACAGAGGAAAATAACTGAAATTAAACTTATCCTTCAATTAACTAACCATAATAAAAACATTTTTGTCATCTGAGTGATAGTTTCTGAGTGATAGTGTCAGAAAAGAATGTGAAGTTTTCGTCTTTGTAAATATTCATGGTTAGAAAATCACCTTAGTGAGAGCCTGGGGCCACAGCAGCAACATTGCATGGGAGCTTGCCAGAAATGCAGAGCTCTGGGACCCACCCAGACCCCGGAATCAGAATTGCTATTTTAACAAGTTTCACAAATGATTCATATACATATTAATATTTGAGGATCTCAGTTATAGAGTGGTTAGACCAGTGGCACATATTCCTGGTCCTGTATGTATGTGTATGTGTATGTGTATGTGTATGGTATGTGTATGTGTATGTGTATGTCTATGTGTATATGTACGTGTAAGTGTACGTGTACGTGTACGTGTATGTGTATGTGTTGGGATGGGTTTTTTTTAAATAAAAATTCTCACGTTCCTGCTTTAGATCTAAATCTGAATCTCCATGTTGTATATTAGATTATTCACTTTTATTCTCATCATTACAGTTTTATGCATAATTTGAATTTAGGCATGATTACAAACAGGAATTCACACTTGTAATTAGAAGTAAAAATCAATCTTATTTAGAAGGATAAAAGTGGCTTATAAAACACAACAAATACTGCATAGAGACTGTTCAATGAGAGGTTGCTCACAATTTTAACAAGATTGTAGACATTTTAATTTTGGTACATATTCTGGATATTTGCCATTGTGAAGATTAGTCATGCAGTTTCTGGAATTTTAAATTTCCACCTAGGTATTTCAGATTTCGATATATTTAATAAAGCTCTAAGTTTAGGGGTAGAGGAGGAAAATCTAGTCATTGCCCAGGATAGTAGAACAGCAAATATTTGGATGAGAAATAAAGGCATTTGTCTGTTTGTTCAGGTGTCCTTAAATCTATTGATGTTTGACATAATAAAGACTGAATATATATTTATCCTTCTCTAACACAGGTAAGTAGTTGGATTTTAAAAATTAATTATTTGTGTTTTTAAACTATTTTTATATTTTTAATGTTTCCTTTCATAACATTGGTGTCACTAATATTTTCTTGGTACAATTTTTGGTTTACTTTTTTATAAGTGCAATGAGTTCATATGCAAAGTATTTTATACGTCAAAATAAATCTATCAAGACATACATGCGGGAAAATGATATCTTTGACCTTTTCTAATAAAAATTCCCATGCATTGGATTTTCTGCTCCATTGTCACCTCTAAATTGTGAATATACACTACTTACATCTCATAAATATTCCTTCCTTTACCACATGCACAGGGACTCACTGCTACTCTAGATTCTCACAAGGCTGTAGGGTCCACTGGGAATCCCATGCCCCAAAAGTATCATTAATACAGGAATTTCTTGTTCCGTACATCATCATGTTACCCGAGAATTAATTAAGTTCTGGAAATCAGGCCAAACTCCAGAACCTTTGCATGTAACTGTCCTTTCTGCCTTCAACCTTTCCTCTGCTCCACTCCTCAATCTACTAATTAGCATGTTTCAATACAAACATCCCATCGTAGAGACCATTTCTGACTATCTTATCTACATTTGTTGCCCACTCACCCATCACATGTTCTACCAAGAGATTGTTTCATAGAATTTATCACAATATGCATTTGTTGACTTCTCTATTGTCTGTCTTCATTACTAAACTATAAATTTCATGAGTATGTGCTCAATGAAGATTTGTGGGAATAATTTTTTGCTCACCAGTTTTCCTCGGAGAAGTCATAATATTAAAAATATTCGCTATGTTCTAGGTATAACTTTAAAGATTTCACATACATTCTCTCACTTAATCCTCAAAACACTGATATTCCCATAATTATTCCTGTTTTACAGATAAAGAAGCACTGTTACAATCATAATAGTCACTTTAGTTGGCCAAAACTAAACATTTAACCATTATTCTTCACGGCTTTGAGAAAGAAATTAGGACCAAAGAATCTACAGCTATACATGCATTAAACAATAAGATCATCCAAAATAAATGATTGTTCCAGCTCATTTTCCCTTAGGACAATAAATTAATTTATGCCTGAGTCCAATAAAAGACATGATGCCTTTAGCACAAGGTTAATAACATTCAGGTTTCATAAACTTGCCACTGCAGATACAAATGATTTGATCTCCCCACACTGAAGAATAAAAGGAAAGCTTGCAATTTAACGTAATGGATGTGATCATCTGCCTCATTTAAACTCTTCCCTCTGTTTGGACAGCAATGTATATAACAGAGACAAGGCACACATATAAGCTAGTTCAATTTAAAGGATGTCCTTCAGCCACTGCAAAAGGTGGGCTTTGGTAAACAGTGTAGGAACAGGCAGAGTAGGTGAGTGTACATCCTCAGAAGGCAAAGGGAACTCAGTATATGATCATGGGAAGGGGGACTCCACTCAGTACTATCCAGGAGGACTGGCTACTCTTTAGAGACATAGTGGTGTTCAATGGATGGGGCCATTGGGGCGCTAGTTGCTCCTTCATATAGGTCCTTCAATGGCCTGTGGGATTTTATTCCTCCCAGTAAGGACATGCAAATTCTCTATGCAGAACCTGTTCAGAGGGTGCTCTATGCATGAGTGTGCACATGTGAGTGTATACATGCAAACAGGGTAGAATTAGAGCAGGAAAGTAAACCATTCTGCTAACAAATTGTCCTACTTAAAATTACTTTCTCACCTCACATCCTGTTTAATTTTTTTTGATATTAGGCTAACAGCTGTTGGTGTGTTTGGCTGAATCAATTAACAGACACTTAGTTTGCAATATATAAAATGCAAATTGTTTACTTTATTAACAGCCACAAATGATGCATATCAAATAAATGTCTGTGGGATTTTATTAGCTAAGATGAATTCAATTGTAAGTATCACAACATTCAAACTAAATTGGGAGACACTGACAGATATAATTGTAAATCCTAAGGTAAGATGAGCTTCTGGGAGTTTCGACTCAGTTCCTTAACTACGTATTCAAAATCTTAGAATTTTTTCTATCTCTCTCTTCTATCCTCCATGGCATTGACTTCAACCCAAAGAAGTATCTATGTGGTCACAAGATTCTGGCAACAACTTTTCCCTTCTATGCTTCTTTGTATGTATCCACAAAAACAGAAAGATAAACTTTTCCAAAAGCTCTCTCTAAAAGAGGAAAATAGCCACTTTTCTAAAAGCCCCCCAAAAGCCTCCTGTTTTCTAATATCACTAGCCTAAATGAGATCAGCCACATGAAACTGATATCAGTGGCTAGAGAATGAGAAAATGATAAATATTTAACCTTCATTATATAAACCTACCACTAGCATAAAATATGAAAACAGCTTCCCCAAAAGCGCATGAGCTTCACAGATACCAAATTAAAATTATGTTAGTTCAGAAGGTGAGGAGGGAAAACGTGGAGAGGCAGTGACGATGCTCATTGTGGGGAACAGAACAGAAAAAAATAATCAATGTCAGGTTATGTTCTGAAATTATCATTAGAGTCCATTTTCTATGGATTACACCTCCCTATCATAGTTTATTGTTTTTATTCTTTGCTTCAACCCTTCTTAAATAAAAGGGAAAAGAAGTAGAGAAACTAGGACTCTATACTGCTGGAGGGAAAATATTTTGGCATTATCTGCTAATAATGAACATTTTCTGTACTCTATAACCCAGAAATTTAATCTATTGATTATTTCCAAAAGAAAATGCATTCACACGTCTACTTAAAGACATGTACAAGAAAGTACACGGTTGCATTATTTGTCACATACAGGAAAAAATAGAACTCAAGTCAACAGTAAAATTGATAAATAAAATATGGCTTATGCACATAATGAAATATTGTACAACAGTTCAAATTTGTGAAATATTGCTACATGCAGCAAAATAAATTTGAAAAATAAAAATCTGAGCAAAAGATGTCTAGACATTATATACATGGGCAAATATGTAACACTTCTGTTACATAAAATTTAATGACAAGAAAAATTATCTGTAGTGCTCAAAGTTAGGACAGCAGTTATTTGAGGTAAGAGAAAGAGGACAGAAACTAGGAAAGAAAGAAGACGTTTTCTGGGACATTGGCAATATTTTATTTTCAGACACATTTTGCAATTACATGGGTTTTTATTTCAATTTTTGATAATGCATTGAGTTATATTTTAATCTTATATGCTTTTTATAACATTAATACTTCATAAGAAAACAAACTAATCAAGTTTAGCTATGGAGGTTAAAAGCAGAGCATTAAGCATCTAAGGACAAGAACTGCTTCTGTCTTCAAAGGTGTTGTTTTCTAAAACTTTGTAAGTGTTGGGCATTTGGCAAGACACCCGATGAATAGTTTTCAAAATATGAGTATGAATTTTTTAAAAGAAGATTCAATATTTGTGGAAATTAACTTAGTAAGTGGCTCACTCTCTTTCTATATGTGCCCATGTAACAATTACAGTTAATACTAAAAGGAGCTGCCTATGTAACATGCTATTGTATGGTTGCCATTGCTCTCTTCAAGTGCTGATGATTCTCTGCATGGGAAAACTCAAATGACATGTATTTAAAATATTTTTTAGACCATAATGAAACAAAGCATGCACGAGTATGTTTATTGTAGCACTATTCACAATGGCAAAGACATGGAATCAACCTAAATGCCCATCAGTGATAGACTGGATAAAAAAAAAAATGTGGTACGTATACACCATGGAATAGTATGCAGCCATAAAAAAACAATGAGATCATGTCCTTTGCAGGGACATGAATGGAGCTGGAGACCACTATCCTTATCAAACTAACACAGGAACAGAAAACCAAATACCGCATATTCTTACTTATAAGTGGGAGCTAAACAATGAGGACACATGGACAAATAGAGAGGAGCAACACACACTGGGGCCTTTCAGAGAGTGAAGGGTAGGAGGAGGGAGAGGATCAGGAAAAATAACTGATGGGCACCAAGCTTAATACCTGTGTGATGAAATAATCTGTACAACAAACCCCCATAACACAAGTTTACCTATATAAGAAACCTGCATTTGTATCACTGAACTCAAAATAAATGTAAAAAAAAAAAGTAAAAAAAAAAAGAAGAAAAAAAAGTACTAAAAAAAAAGAAACAAAGCAAGCCAAGGTTAACACAAGAACAAATCCTAAAGTCATGTCAACTGTCCATGGATGCTGGGTAGGATAGAAAGAAAAATATGCATGTTAAATTGTGGTTAGAAAGAAATGTTAACAAATGATTATTAAACTGGAATATTTCTCATTTATCTCTTTATAAAGCACTTCAGTAGAATTATTTACAACATGTTAAAAATAGTATTTTCACTTTCTCATTTGTGTATACCTTGCTACAGAATAAAAGCTATGATGACCTCGTTCCACTTAATATATGTACAAGGAAGCTCACAGTTGCATTATTTGTCACATACAGAAATAAATAAAACTCAAATCAACAGTAAAATGGGTAAATAAAATATGGCATATGCATATAATGAAATATCGTACAACAATGCAAATTTGTGAAATATCACTACATACAATATTGACGGCCTCATAACCTGCATGACCTTGGGAAAACTGGGACAGCTTGTCTTGCACACTACACACTAACATGGAAGTTTTAAAGGCAGTAACCTGAAGTGGGTTCATAATTACGTTAGTCTCATGCAGCATTTTTTTTTTATCAAATGGTAGAACTTATACACTATACTTGTTATTGGACTATAATGATAACATGGTGACAAAGTCAGTGTAATAAAGAAGGCTTCCTCTCCTTCACTCCAGAAACACACATTGACTGCATTTCTTGCCATGTTCTATGAAAATCCAAGACCAATTTTAACCAGAGAAGATATGCAAACCATAAAAGAGAAGGACGTAATTATTTACCATCAAGAAATGTATCAAGTAGGAAATACTTTGTATTTCTTCATTTATATGATGACTAACATATTACAAATATGCAAGGTGCGGCATATACTGAGTTTTCAAAATAAGACATAGGCTAGTCACTCTTATCCCTGGCTGTATGTTAATATTAAGTGGAGGGCTTTAAAGAAATGCCAGTCTGAAATCCTACCTTATACTGATTTAATTGGTCTCTATGAGACCAAGACTTTGGTATTCAGCTAATTCTAAGGTGCAGCCGTAATTAAGAGCTACTGCAAGAGAGTATGATAGAACCACCTGGACTTTCTTTTCTTAGAGTAAATAATTACTTTGGTAACTGCTTTTAGGTAAGTCAGACGTCACTTGCTATAGTGTTTCATGGTAAACTGAAAATTCAAAATAGCATCATCTTCAATATTTTTGTGATATTAAGATAGCCCCGTATTAGCATTTCCTAAGGCTTGGGACATCTGCTCTAGTACACAGACAATTTTAATTAAGTGTCACATAGGTACAGTATTAAAAGACATTGAAACATATAATTAGAAAGTTTTTCCCTTTTTAATTTTCCTTCAGCATATCTAATTATACTGAGGGCAAAGTCTCAGTTTATTTCTAATTTGTCTTTAGCCACTCTTTTCAATTTGCTAATCTGCCTTCTGAAGAGAACAAGAGCAAGCTTGGCATATCTGGGAGACAAAATACGTAATTAAAATTTGATTACATTGTTCTGGTACCATTGAATTTATTTGCAGTTGTCTTCTAATATGAAAAGTGACACTGATTTCCAGTTTGTATTGTTTTTATTAAATGCATTAAATAAAATAATTTTACTGAAAAAATACTTTGTTTTATGAAAAAAGTTCAGTCATAAATGACCACGTATTACTTAGATGTGGCAAAAAACGTTGAACTTGGGAAACAGTGACTTACAGATTCAGATTTCTTGATCCTTCATTAAACAGCTTATATTTGAGACTCTTTTTTGAAAACAGTGCAGATGGAAAGAAGTACAAAGTATAATGCTGATATCAAAACACTCCTCATCTATTTAAGGAGACAAATACCTGAACAGCTAGGAAAAAAACAACGCTTAAATAACAATGCAAGACAATACCAAAAACGTTCTCACAATGTAGAACATGACTTAGCTCTGTCAGGATCTCCAACTTGATATTGAGGTTATTTCTATCAATGTTTTTCTTCATTCATTTTCAAATCTCAATTTATGTGGGTAAGAAGAAAGTTTTCTTCTAGAATACAAAATATTTTGAGGAACCGATAAAACTTTTGATTTTTTCTGTAGCAAAAACGTTCATATATACAAACATACATAATTTTTTAAATATTTGCAAGGAGTCCACAGATGGATAGGAGATTTTCTGTGCACTTTGACATGACACATGAACAAAAGATTAAACTGTCTCAGATTTAGAATCATTTAAAGGTCACTGAGAACAAGTGTATGAAAATGAAGGCTGGTTCCATATTTAGGCAGATATTCAAATGTATCGAATGTATTTGAAAATTCATATTGCTCTATGGTGACAGGAAATGAAATATTCCAATTTTATTTTCATGTTTAGATATTTGAAATGGTGGAGCAAAATTTTTCAGATAGTTGATTAAATTTTCATTTTCATACACTACTAGTTTTAACAACATGTGTACATACATCTGAATGACCATAATTCTGGAAATTTTTCTTGTTCATCTTTTTTTATACTTTTCTGTTTGTTTGTTTCTTTCTTTTCTAAAATTGTGCTAAAAATTCATCTTTAGATTCAAGGTAAACAAATGCCAAATCTGCCCTCGTGGTCATGGCCAATTCTAGAAGACTACTACTAAGTTTTCATCGACTCTTTATAGATAAAATATTTTCTCAAAATCAAGGTTTTATTGTTCGCTTTAAAAGTTAATCAAGTCTTTTCTTATTTTTTCTTCTTGTTGTTAGTACTGTTCTTGTTCCTCCTTCCTCCTACTCTCGTTATATAAATAGCTTATTTTTATCTCTATATAATATGAATTTACATAACTAGGAATTATGAATACTCCAGATTATAGAAATTTGTGTTCATTCACTCATTTGTGTTTATTCACAGACATCTCTTATGAGCTAAGCACTATTCTTAGCACTTAGAATTATTACTTTTTTAAAAAAGTTCCATATTGAGAGTGAACAAATTAGTTCTTCATGAACCCATTTTGGAAAGTCCAAAATTACATTTGTTCCTGGAATTCTGGAACAATATAAAAAATCCCCAATGAAATTTGAAAACATTCTAACTTCACACCAATTTTAAGCATGTGTTACGTCAAAAAGGTTTATATAATAGAAGAGGGCTGTTTGTGTAATTTACAGATTTACAAGTTTAGATCTTTCAACACACAATAAGGCTAAAAGCCTTAAATTAATATGAATTCATATTACAAAATGAGAGTGCCTTAATGAAATAACAAGATAAAGTACTGTCTTTTCTGGCAGTATATTATCATCTCTTACAAACGGCTGCAACACTAATGTGCATATTGTAAAATTAGGCTCTTATAGAATCCATGCTTCTTCCCCCATCTTCCCTATTATTACTTTCTCTAGTCTTTCTAATATCCATTGGGTACATAATCACCAGTAGTATCAAGGCAGAACACATAAGCACTGAAAAGTTCATAATTAATTCAATCAAGTATGTACTCTCAAGGGGAAAAAAACTTCATTTTGTCTAGAAAACTGAATGTGATCATTTTTTACGTAAGCATTTCTGGGAAAAAACTTAGCTGGATAGTCACTGTGTTTTAAAATCTGTTATTCTGTAAGATAAGTTTTTAATTATCCCATGTAAATATTTAGGCATGGAATTACTGTGTAATATGTTAGGTGTATGTTTAACCTTATAAGAAAATCCTAAACTGTTTTCCTGAGTAGCTATACCATTTTCATTCATACTAGCTATGTAGTTCGAGTTGCTTCACATCCTCACCACACTTGGACTTGCTAGAGTGGTTTTTATTTTGCCCATTCTAATAGATGTGTGGTGATATCATATTATGATTTTAATTTGCATTTGCCTAATGGGTAATGGCTAATGATGTTGAACCTCTTTTCCTGTGCTTATTTGACACATCAACAACTTAGATGAATCTCAAAAGTATTATGCTAAATGAACTGTATGTGTCTCTAATTATATTCTTGAAAGAAAAATCTTCAATGATGAGTAACAGATCAGTTTTAAGGAGTAAAGGATTTTGTAGTTGTTGTTGTTGTTTGCTTTTGTTTTGTTCTTGTGAGTACCATAAGTACCACTCAAACCAAGAATACTGATTTGGGCTGTGCTTATGGTACTCAAGAGAACAAATATATGTGTTAAAATGTATGTAAGTATACACGAAGAGGTCAATTATGCTGTATGATAACTTAAAAATACAACTATTATTCTGTAACCTAATCATTAAACTTTAAAAAATATTCTCTGCCATTAGATATTTGTGGAAATTTCCTAATAATAAAGTATGAGATAATTGGGCTTAAAATTTTAAAAAATTTTTTGGGAGAAATAAAATTTCATTAATGAACTAGTACTCTGGTTTCCTATTAATTTTGTATACAATTTTTAATCTCTTTTTTACTATTTGCCTGGATTTATACACAGATTAAGTTCAATAACAAATTTTATCGGTAGGAAATAAGTATACTTTTGTCAATGGTCTCTATGAGAATCCCTTAAAATTTTAAACATTCAATTAATGCACAAATCATAATAATTAAGTTGGAATTTAGCAATAGTCTTTGCCATTTATTAGATGCAAAGTATTTAGCTCTGTAAAAACAAATCTATTTACACACATTAGTTAAATATAATGCAATTATTTCATTACAATGCCATAAAATAAGTATGTTTTAAATCATTGACATAATAGTAAAATCAATAACTGGTTCTTGGTCTCGCTAAGATTTTGCAGTAGGATGTAGAACAACACGTTATATAACTCTGATGAAGCTAAAAGTCAGCACTTGAGTTAATTGCCAAGCAACTGAAAACTGGCAGGTAAAACGCAACCCTCACCATTCCCCAGATCATATAGGTACACTTTTCCCTAAGAATGAAACTGATGGTATTAGTATATGAAGTCTTACCCCTTATCCAAACTCCTTACCTAGAATGCAATTCAAATTACTTACAATGGTTTTGAGACCGTACATTAGGAAATAGCTTTCTGCCTCCCAAGTTCTTCCCCTAGACTTTTTCATTCTCAATCAATCTTCCAGTCACCTGGACCTTCCTTTCATTCTTAAATTACACCAAGTGCTTATTTCTTTGGGGATCCTTGTACCTGCTGTTACCTATGATGATAATGGTCTTCCCTTCAACATTTTCATGCTGGGCTCCTTTCCTTCTCTCATAGTCTCAACTTCTTATCCATTATTCATAATTGCCTTCCCTGGCCAGTATATGCAAAGTAAAATTTATTTGATTATTTTCAACACACCACACTTGTAAGTTATTTCCTCAACACTATCACAATTTGAAGCTTATTTAGTTTGTTTGTTTACTGTCTGCTTTCCCCCAGACATCAAGATCTATTTCCTAGTACAGTGGCATGCAAGTATTAGAAACTCAATAAACATTTATTGAAGACAGGAAGACAGGAAGTAGGCGGGAAGGAATTTGTCCACCTTGCATTTATATTCATTCTACATTTAACACAGTACTTCAGAGCTCAACAAGGGCCAAATGGTATCTTATGTTAGCTTATTTCAGGGGAAAAATGAACAGAATCATGTGCGTTTATGGGTTTAAAAATGCAAAAATTAGCTGAGCATGGTGGTGCACCCCTGTAATCTCAGCTACTCAGGAGGCTGAGGTGGGAGAATTGCTTGAACCCAGGAGACAGAGGCTGCAGTGAGCTATCGCACCACTGCACTCCAGCCTGGGCGACAGAGTGAGACCCTGTCTCAATAAAAATAAGTAAATAAAATAAAAATAAATAATGTTTGAGTATAAGATATATATCTGGGTACACAATTACCTTGTATCAGAATCAATAAGGGAAGTAAATAAATACATAGGTATGACATTGTCTACAAGTAAATTTATAAAAGCAGTGTTATATATTATCATATTATATATATTATTTTTTTAAATTATGCCCTTCTCCTAGAATATAGGCTTTACAAGAGCAAGGATTATGTTTGCCTTGTTCAGCACTATATCTTCAGCAGCTGGCAGGGTGCTAGCAACATAGTGGGTAGGAATTAATAAAACGTGATTAACAAAATAAATAGGAATTCAGGAGAGTATAATATAGTGTAGGTCACCTGAATCAGAGTATAAACTACAATCTCTAATTTTGTGCTTTACGTGCATGTGCACTTCTCTGATATATTTTATTGAAACTTAAACAACTGTTAAGAATCTGCTTGGTATATATCACTTACAACCTGAAGTAAAGGAGACTAAAATTGAATCAAGAAATCTTTCCATCCTCATTTGAGTTTCTAGAATTTACTGTGATGCTTGGTCATCAGAGAAATTGAGCTGCACGTGCAAAGGGAAGTCAGTCTCCCAAGAGGACTTCCATCATGGACCATGGAAACTGTAAATGGCCTGTTGACCACAAGAGTACCTGGAAAATTACAATCAACTGTAATAGATATTTTGAGGAGTATGTGAGTACTCACATATTTTTGTTTTTATGACACTGAGTTCATTTTATTTCATTTTTAAATTATTAATTATATAATATTAATCTATTTAATTTAAACAAATTAAATAAATTTAATTATTAATATATAAAAGATTTTTTTATGAAGTGACATGCAATGTGACTGAAAGGTTGTAGACTTTTGTTTATCTAGACAAAGTTACTTTTATTATTTCAGGCTTTAAAATACAATAATTCACTTAGTTAAATATCGTTCCATGTATGACCTCACTTTTTAAACTTTAAATGGAAAATATCTATAACAAAATTATATCTCAAATCCTGAGCCATCACACTGATGAAAATTCTGTATTGAAGATGACATGCTTAAAAAATAATAGGTCGGGGTGGCCGGGCACGGTGGCTCATACCTGTAATCCCAGCATTTTGGGAGGCCAAGGCGGGTGGATCAGGAGGTCAGGAGATTGAGACCATCCTGGCTAACATGGTGAAACCTCGTCTCTACTAAAAATGTAAAAAATTATCCGGGCATGGTGGCAGGCACCTGTAGTCCCAGATACTCAGGAGGCTGAAGTGGGAGAATGCATGAACCTGGGAGGCGCAGCTTGCAGTGAGCGGAGATCAAGCCACTGCACTCCAGCCCAGGCGATAGAGCAAGACTCCGTCTCAAAAAAAAAAAAAAAAAAAAAAAAAAATATATATATATATATATATATATATATAGTAAGATGCTCTGAAAGTAATGCCTGTAAAGGTGACAGGAAAATAAACCCAGTGTTTAAAGGGATCTGATTAATTTTAATGTGGCATAACACTATTTGTGAGGATACAATGAGAAGAGCAATTTGCAAACCAGAAGGCCCTCACCAGAACCCAGCCATGGTGGCATTCTGATCTCAGACTTCCAGCCTCTAGAACTGTGAGAAACACATTTCTGTTGTTTATAAGCCATGTATTCTATGGTGTTTTGTTTTAGTAGCAGAAGCTACTTCCTACTAAGTAGGAATCAGCTTCATGTAGATCCCTCCCATTATACATCAGGATAGGTCTGTATCACCAACAGCATATGACAGAAGCGATGGTGTATAATTTTTGACACTTTCTTGTAAAGACTATGGCTTTCATCTTGAAAGCCCTCTCTCCCACTCCCTTCCTCCCTCCTCCTTTCCTCCCCCAATCCTCTCTGTCTCCTCTCTCCAACTCTCCAACCCCATGTAGAGCTCAAAAGACAAGAAACGGGAACTTCCTTTTAATAGCCACATTGGAGTGAGCATGAAAGTTGATTTTCTAGCACCTTAAGATGGCCAGGACCCTGCTAAACAACTTGACTGCAATCTTACGAGAGATCCTAAACTGCAATTACCAAGCTACCCATTATTGGATTCCTGCTCCTCAGACACTGCAAAATAAGACGTGTTTCTTATTTTAAACTGCTAACTTTTGGATAACTGGTAATGTAGACATAGATAACTAATGCAAAGACAGATGATATCTAAGGTTGCAATGACTTAAAGTAACTTAAACTGTCATACATTGAAATAGTGTTTTGCTAAGTTTCTTATAATAAAATACATCTATGCTACATCCTAGACATTTCATCAAGAATAATAACAGATGCCTACAGCAACACTTGTACAATAACATTCATGACAGTTTGTTTTCAATTAGCCTCAAACTAGAAGCATCAAGGGGATACTGGGTAAATGCACTGTAATTCATACCATGGAATTCATAATAATAAAAAAGAACTCATATGCATAAGTATTATATCTCAGAAATATTATGTTGAGCAAAAGAAGCTGGGTTAAAAAGGTAAAGCACATTGTTAATTTCATTATTATGAAGTTGTGCAACAGAAAAATATAAATCTATGGTGAAAGAAATTGGAAAAGAGGCTACCAGGGGCAAGCAGGGATTGGAGAGAAGAAGAATGATGATTATTAAAGAAGCACAATAAAACATACTGATGTGATAGAAACATCACACACACACACACACACACACACACACACACACACAGGGGTAGTTGTTATAATACTGCATACATTTGGAAAACACTTCATCTAACTGTATATTAAATTCTGAATAATTTATTGAATCTATATTATGTCTTTATTTAAAAATAGTTGCAGGGGAAAAGTCTATTATGTGGTGAGTGAATTGGAAGGTAGCAAAAACATATTCAGAAAGGTATTTTGGGCAGTGTTGTAGTGACCCAGGTGACAGATGATGTTGAATTTTGTTATATGATCAGATGTATGAGGCACAAAGAAAAATGAAAAGTTAGTCATGACCCTGAATAGCAAAATACCAGCTTAGATTGTTTCCTTCCTCATTACTCTCCAGATTCCACAACCACTGCTTCCACTTCATGCTGTCCAATATAGACCTGACCATCAAGAGTAGCAACCTGAGTTTGCTCTGAATAATGAGTTGAATAAATTTGCCTAGCAACTCAGGGATAATGTTTTACAATGTCTTTGGGAAAATATCCTTCTTTACATACAGTGACAAAATTATCTTCAGGAAGGAGTCTTGTATGACAGGATGTATTTTCTCATTTAAATAGAAGCTATTTCACATTGTTAGAGATATTACTAAGTTCAATGTTTACACAGGCATTCTCAAAATTCAGGGACCTCTACCCAATTTGCTTATCTCATACAAGTCAAAGCAAGAAACTGAAGAATTAGAAAAGTTGTATTTAAAAAAATCCCTCTTCTACACTCCCACAAAGTTCAGAGTTTAGCAGGGATGGGGAGCGTACTTGTGCCTCTGGTGATATATCAGGGGATAAATAATGTCCTGTATTAAACAATAACAATAAGAGTAACAAAAATAACACCATGTAAAGGTCACTAACTATGTGCCCCTTAATATGTATTATATCAATTCCTACTCAAAATAAACTTAAGAAAAATTATTATCTTCCTTTTTATTTGAGACGGGGTCTCACTCTGTCACCCAGGCTTGAGTACAGTGGTGCAAACATGGCTCACTGCAGCCTTGAACTCCTGGGCTGAAGTGATCCTCCTGAATTAGCCTCCCAAGAAGCTAGGACCACAGGCGTGCACTACCATACCCAGTTAATTTTTTTTTTTTTCTTGAAATAGGGTCACACCATGTTGCCCAGGCCAGTTTGGAATGCCTGGGCACAAGCGATCCTCCTGCCTCAGCTTCCCAAATCTTCCTTTTTTAATATGAAAAGACAGAGTGAAACTGGTTGACTGAGGGTCATCAAACTGAACCCTGATCAAGTGTGTCTGAAGAGCTTATGCTATTAACAAGTATACTATGCTGTGGAAACGGTTTGTTTGTTCATTTTCTTTTATTTTTTTTTCCTGACAGCCATATATGCTGACTTACAGTGAGATACTGTAAAAAAAGTTGAAAATATTTCCTTTTTAGGAAAAGAATAAAATTTGGGGGAAAATGAGTGCAATTTTTATTACTTAATTAAGCATATAATTATTGAACATCCGTTAGAGGCTAGGCATGCTATGAAAGGTGAGTTGTATCAATGGCATCTCTTCTGTTGTGGGTCCTGGCTTCTAGCTGAGAGAGATAGAAAATCAAAAAGTAAAAAGAATAAACCAATAAATAACATTTTTTTTTCTGATTAATTACTAAAGGCTATAAGTAAGTACTAGGGCAAAGTAAAGCAGAGAGGATTAGAGGACTTAGGAGTACAAGGTGGAGTGGAGTTTGCAATATTACACTGAGTGGTAGGTGCAGGCTTTATTGAGAAGGTGAGCTCTGAGCAAAAACTTCAAAAAGGTGAGTTAATCAGTGGATATGTGAAACACATTGCACAGGGAACACAATGTTATACAAAATTTTCCCTATGTTATCATGACTAATTTCCCGATACTGAGAAAAGAAGATGACAAACATCATATTCTCATTTAATATAGATGTGGTACACTGCTAAGAAGGAATAGAACTTTCTATAAAATATTAGTAAAACAACCCTCAGTGCCTTTTCTTTCCTTCCCCCTCCTCGCAGCTAGGTGATAGAAGTTTAAGGATTAAATGACAGAGGAGTACTTGTGGAAGAGGGTTATTTGTTTAGCAATAGAAGGAACTGTTCAATTACTTATCTCCTACCATAGTGGGAGGTAGCTCCACTTCTGCCTACGGAAATCAGGTAATTCACTCTTAAATGTCCACCATAAAAAGACTAAGAGGCCAATTCTTATCTCTACTACAAATACAAAAACTTTTACAACCTCTTAGCATTCTCTAAACAAGAGTGGTTAGAAAATTCCTGGGGAAATTTGGCCTGTATTCTCTATAATGCAAAAATCCCAGAATTGGCTCAAATGATATTCGTTTCATAAATTAATTAAGAAATTATACATTAATTTCTACTTTTATGTTTAGAGTTGCTTTCCTCAATTATGTATCTCAAGTGTGTTTTCAAAAGCAATTTATAAAAAAGAACTGATAACCAGCAAAAAAAGAACACGTGAAAGCATCAATCATTTTTTCCTATCAAGATTATAATGACATATTATATTCAGCTTGTTTTTGCCATTTTATTTATATAAATATACAGTAAGTTCTGCAATTTCTTTAGATGTATTTAAGCAAATACACACTGTATATTTGTCTTACTAGGTAGACTTTGGCTTTACAGCAACACTTGGGTTCATGGCAGGGTTTCAATTATAACAAAGGATCTTTGCTTTAAAACAACCCTTGTTTTCTCCACGATTATGTTGTTTGGTACTTACATGGTTTTCTTTATGAATGGGTGGAGAGTGTTGTATCAGTGCTACTTATTTAGCATTTACATGGTATTTTATCTATGCAGAGTTATACAATGATTTTTATAATAATATAGAATTATTGCCATAGTTTGTGCTCTTATATCATAATACTGTAGGGATTAATATGATTTAGAGTTAAGTTTTATTTTTACCCTAAACCACTAATGTGTAACTTGAAAGGAGCTTTTTATTTCCTTTTTTAAAGGAAATTTATTCTCTAGTATGGGGGACAAATGAATGGGAAATAACCCTCCCCAGTAATGCAAGTTAGAGAGGACTTTTACATCTCTAAACAACCAAAGTATTTTCTTACATTTAGATAAAAAAAGCCGGGGGGTGACTATACTTGTGCAATGTGATGTATTGCGCTATGAATTCAAGGAGGGGGTCTTAACTCTGTTCTACAGCCAATAGTAAAGGATCCTTGAAGAAGTCCCTTAATCTCTCAATATCTCATTTTCTACAGTTGTCAGAAGAAAATATTATCTTTTTCATCTAATTCATGAGTCTACTGAGAGAATAAAACTGTGAATGCAAACGTTTCTGTAAAACTGTAAAATCCCTATTACTTTCTAGAAATTATAGCTTCTTATTACTCTAGAAATTAAAACATAAGAGCTTTTCTGTTGTTACCACATAGTAACATTAATTAACCAGTTGCTAGTATGATTGGGGTGATTAAAAATATGTCATCTTTGAATATCTATATATTAAAACTATACATATCCAAATATGAAGTTGTAATATTATTTCTACTTTAATATTGAGTATCGTTGCTTCACTTTTGTCTTCCACTTTTCTAAGAATTTTTGTAAGAAAACTGGAGGACAACATTGAGCAAGTTTCCTATAGATTTGCTCAATAAAAAGCAAGATCTCCTCTTTAAAAATGGAATGACATGCTATAGTTAAGTTTCTGGATGAATAATTAAGTGCAGATTAAACTATGCTTTACTTACATAGACACAAACAATGAGGAAATATATATTCTAAACATAATATTTGTTCAGCTCTAAATAATTCCATTTAATATGCTCTTATATTAAAAAAAAAACCTAATTTCAGACTGCTGCTAAGCATTTCTGTCTAGACCTTTCAATCAAAACAAAAAAACATAATGTAATAGTGATGTTATTGGTGGAGACTGAGTATCTTAAACCATGTCCTTCTATAGATTCGACATTTTGATTTATTCAGTGGGCTGAATGGATGTAAAGTATCTGTTGTAGATTCTATTAACTGAAGACAGAATGAGAGAATCATGAATATTAAAACTAGTAAATAACTTATAGATCATCCAGTCTACCTGTTACACTTCTAGGAACACTATTGATGGATTGAGACCCCAAACTGATTAAAAAAACACATAAGATAATATTGACAGATCTAAAAACCCAAGTTATTATGATTCATATGTATACACATATATAAACATCATTATATATGTATACATGTTTACTTATATCCACATTCATACTTATTATAGTATGTTGCTTCTAATCTATTATGTTTAAGTAAGTCATTTAATCTATCTATAATCTTGGTTTCCTAGTCTCTCAAATGTGGTTGATGATAAATACTTTGCGGAGTCACAGGATTGTGTCTGTGTATGTGTGTTTGTGTTTGTGTGTATTATTTGATTCAGTGTGTATGTATAACATGACACAAGCAGCGCATAAAATTGATATTATCTTATGGCTATTTGGTTTCTGGCTTTGAAGAGGTCACATAGGTGTCTGATCCCCTGGCAGCAGAAAGACGCATTGTCTTCTGCATGTCTACCTGAATAAAGTATCACATCTGGAATATTCATCTCAATTGAAATCATGAATCTTTAAGCATTTGAATTGTGCCGACACCCACAGTGGTCAAACAATCTCCAAACTACTCTGATTATAACTTTTCATTATAATTCAATCTTCTTAATCAGCCAATTTGGCAGAAGTGTTTGGAGAACGATAAGTATGTATAATTCCAGTAAAGCCTACTTGTACCTAAACTGAAAAGCCTGTCTTGGAATGGCTGGGAAATTGTAGTAGGGAGGTAGCCAGGACCCTAGTAACATAATATTTATAGCAAAGAGATACAGTATCTAAAATTAGTCTTAACTTCCTTCCAATCTGAACGGAAATCCTTGGAATGAAACAATTTTTTGAAGTATAGAACAGAGACCTCTATCATTAAAATATATATGCTTTAAATCAATTATTTTGAGGAAATTACCTGATCTAAATGAATCTAGGACGTGAAAGAGACATTTATATAACTCATTATTTAAATTACAAGCCAATTTTCAACTTCTGCCTACAATTCAGGTGTTTTGTTTAGGTAGTAGTGGGTGACTGGGTTCTGGGAAATACTGGGTGATGAGTATTTACGTTCTGTTTTTCTTTATTTTTTTTTTCAGGTTAATGGCCTCAGGGTAACCTTTTGAATTTGAAAGGTAGAGTCCCTACCATTCAAATAGTCTACCCAGTCTACCTCAGGATAGACTATTTGAAGGGTTTTGTCTACAACTAAAGCAATTTAGTACGCTGAGGAAATAAAGATTTTTCTGGTGGATACCAGATGGGGCATTTAGAAAGACAGGAAATGACAAGCTTGTCTGTAGAGATTAATTCTGTAAACAAATAAGGGTATATTGAAGAATCAAAATATTTTTTTCTACATGCATAGTCCTAGCCAGTTAAAGAAACATGTAAAATAAAATTATGGAATAAAAACACTTTAGCAGCTCATAAGAAACATCATCAAAAGCATCTTTGTTTAGGTAGCAGATAAAAATAGAAAATATGTATAAACCATTAACTGTATTTTCTTTTTAAAAATTCAGAATGAGCACTTAAAAGTAAAGTTTAGACAGATCATCAAAAATTCAGTCCATTTTATTTCTGCTCAATTTATCCTTGAAAAATAATTATTTGTCACTCTAAGTATATTACAAAATCTTGTTTTATTCTAATAAAATAAAAACATTTTATGTTTCAGTTATTCTTATTTACTCTAAATTATTTTTTATGTTTTTCTATATATTTTTTTCCCTTTAGGGTATTTTTACTCTGAGATGGAATAAAATTACACTGAAAAAGTTTATAAAGTTATAAGATTTGTTTTAAAATCTCTATGCATATATATGTGGTATATATATAGTTTTTCAATATAATCACATACACATTTATATATGTATATATGTTTTATTTTTTTGGAGCCAATATCTTCTTATAACTAATGTTGGTGTATTCTTTATACTATTCCTTATGCTTTGTTATATGTATAATATTCTCAATGATTTACATACAAATAAAAGATTGAAGTTAAATTGATTCATTCTGCCCAACTGAATAATAAAGTATGAATAATCAAAACACCTTTAAATATTAAATATGATGATAAACTTTTGGAAATCAGAAAAGTATAGACCACTTTTCTTCAAAGTGAGGTCTAGGGTACTTGTTGAAAATACTCCTGTTGAATATTCCTTTTCTCCCCAGACATAATGATTCAAAAGCATTCAGTGTATAGTGTAGGAATCTCCATTTTAGTAAGTTCCCCAGGTTATTTTTTATGACAGCACAAGCTATGTGAATGTTTCAAAAATTTTGGGTTTCAGAAATTAACTATTTCACTTATAAGAAGAGATATTAGTTATTAATATTCTCACTACGATGCTTTATTTTTCTCTTTGTTTCACTTTTGTAAAGACATAGACTAATAAATTTTGTCACTTAATGAGGGCGAAAACAATCTTTTGAGTTACATAAATAAAAAACCAATTTTTTTTTTATTTATCTTTAACTTTCTAGGTGGTTCTGCTACTACTGTCTACCACAAAAGTATTATTTCATAAGTACCACTTCCTATGGACTCCTCATGTCTCAAATATTTCCCAGTTATTTATTGTCCTTCCTCAGGATCAACTTTATAAATCAAAGCTTCTATTTACCTCCAGTCCTACTCAACAATTCAAATGACTTTTTTTATGGGATTGCAGCAGACTGAAACTCTGATCACATTCTCTGCACCAAACAGCAATGACTCCATTCTCTGTCACTATGAGAGAATGTAAAAATTACCACTTTTGGGAGTTTCCATTACAGATAGCTCATATTTATAGAGCTCTTTTAAAAAACTCATCTAAGATAGTCTGGTACAAATTGAAAATTAAAATGTATCATCAAATTTACTTTGTATAAGACATTGAAATGGAAAAGGTGGGGCTGTGGCAACAAGAAGACATCTTAAATACTATTTTCTTATAAACTATAGTAAAGTTAAACATGTTTAGGTTAAAATAGGGTTACTGGAGAGAAAATACATAATATTTTATCTATTAAGTTAGACAACTGTTTACTAAGATGGAGATGAGTCAAAAAGAAAGACATTCCCTTGTGTCTTGTCTAGATTTTAATCCACAGGTTTCATTAATGGTAGAAATAGGGGAAAGATATTTTCTTTTAGTAAGTAACTGTTTTCTAATTTCCGAAACAAATTAATAGCTATCCACAACCTTAAGTATAAAAATGAATTCAAATTTTGAATCAAAAAATTACTTTTTTCAGGATTTCACCAAATTGTATTACATATAAGACTGTTTCCAGTAAAAGGCCCTCTCATATTCTGAGAAAGCTACTGAAATGTTATAATCCTAGTGAAAATACATTCTATTTTTATAGTAAATTAGTAAGGTACAAAAAGTGCTGGAAGAGTTAAGCAGACCCTCTCTCTGTTTAGAAACTCCAAAGTGAGGCTTTCACTCTTTGTTTTGCCTGGGTCTCTTTATCATAAATCTATCTGTCTTATTACCCATCTTACAGAAGAGGGGGCCAGAGAAGTTGCCTAGTTTCAATAATTTTTTTAAAAACTAGTTTAACCTCCATCCTTTTCAGCTGCTTTTGTTACAACTACCATGTAAGATTGTCGACCCACAAAAAAATGTTAGGGCACTGTCTTGATATTTTCTATAGCTAGTTTTTGTTTGTGTCTTTCTTTATATTGGTAGGATATGAGAGGTATATTTATAGAACTTTATTTCAAAATGAAAGTATAGAAGAATGCAAGTAATGTAAATAGTGGACCTCTAACATGGCTTTGGTCCTAGTTAGAAAGCTTGGAGAGCGGGGAAGGTGCTTAGGTAGGTAGACGAATAGTCAGCTAGGCTGCATGGATGGTTGCTCCTCTAATACTCTTAGCTCAGGAAAGTTCAAGTAAATTTAAATGCCGGGCACTTCAGGGCATACACATTCTCAGGGTTTTCAGGAGTCCAGTCTCCAGCCTTACCTTTTTTTTTCTATTCAGTGCAGCAAGGTTTTAAAACATTAATGTGTACTTCACGATTATGGCATCACATTCACCTGGTTCAGCATATTTTCCAACACTGCAGCAAGGCCAACTCTTTTCCAGACGTATATTCCCCTATGCAATCATTTAACTACGTTCTCCACCCTATGCCCAATAGTCCCCTTCCCATATCAAGGAGGGAGTAGAGGTAAACAGATCAGGATCTGTATATTTCATTAGTGCCCCGTGGCTTCATTGGCCTTCTCTCTGACTCTGTGGATGCCCTGAGTATATTTAGAGACGTTCTATCAGGTTAGACAAGCCTCTATCCCTTTGGCCCTCACCAGGACTGCTGTCCCTGGTGCTGAACCATGTTTGCACACGGGTAGTTGGCTGTTGGGTCAATGGGACTGGATGCAAAACCTGGCTGACTGACCTTAAGAATGCCAGGTGCAGAAGCATGCGATGCCTTAGTACACAGGAACAGGGCCGCCCGCCGCCCCTCCCCCCAGCTCCCTCACACATATCTCTCCGGTGTGCGCCAGGACCCATTTGTAAATTTCTCCATCAGACCCCCACCCAAAATGCTTGCAACACGGCCTCAAATGCCGGCGTGTATCAGCACAGCCCACTCCGATATCAGATTGCAATAATGTCAAAATGCTACTCCCTAAATATTTAGTCTTTATGAGGTTACCTTTTCCACTCTAAAACCAAACAAAAAATAAAATAAAATCCAATAAATGAATACATTAACGAAAGTGACCTTCCACTTTCCTCCCTCCAGTCCCCGCCCCATATATTCGCTCTCTCCTAAATTGTAAAGCCGCACATCCTAGGAGAGTGTTTTAAATCTGGGTGGTCTCCCGAGTTACCCCTCCCCACACCTTCCCCCCACCTCTTCAGAACAAAACGACGCCAAAAAGGGCACATCTTACCCAGGGTAGAGCGACAGCAGGAGCAGAATCCACACCGTCATTTTCTGTGAAAATACAGGAGTCGAGTAGACTGAGCTTCCTGTGCTCCATATATTTGGCGAACTCATCGCTTTTTTTTTTTTCCTTCTCTCGCCTCTTGCCTCTTGGTTGCAGAAGAATCCCTCCCCTTTGTATTATTCTTATGCTTATGATCTGATGGTGGCTCCCCCCACCTGCCTCTAGTAGGTCCTTCACTGGGGAGATGGATTGCTACCAGATTAGGGAATTAATATTCAGGGGGCAGAGATAAGATCAGCAAAAACGCTTGCAGATACCATCAAAGCGTCACTCTGGCAGCGGCTTCCAAGTCTGGGGGAGTAATATCATCGAGGCAGGGGGAGGGTACAAGGAGAGACTCATACGGAGACAAATAAGGGAGAGGGAAAGACACGCACACTCGTGTATACTCATGCCCCTCACACTTACGCGTTCTCCCCTGGGTCCATCTCTTTGGGGTTATTTATTTGTTTGTTTTGATTTTTTTTCTTTTACAGGGGGCAGAGCCCTGTGGGTGTGTGTATTTAAAATAAATAGGAAAAAAATCACTAGAGACTCTGCGTGATTAACTATCACGCAGATTAACTATGAGGTCAAAGTGGAAGTGATGCACGCTGCTGCAGCACGAATTAACACATGCGTGGTGTCTTTCCAAAGCTTTTTAACCCTTTACTGCACACACCAGCATGCAAGGACTGGCATTCATGGGGACAAGAGATGCTTTAGCAAGCCCAGAAGCTACATCATCAATGACAGAAGGTTTGTGGTCGTCAGATCTGCCAAGAATCCTTATTTTAAACTCGTACAGTCTTAGAAATCATGGTTGCATTGTTAGAGCTGGGGGAGCAGACAGTGGGGGAGGTGTGAGTGTCTCAGTAAGTCATCCTGTAGGCAGACAGATTTGGTGAATTCAATTTGAATGAGAGAAGAAAACATTGATAGAATTAAAGGACATGGAGAAATTCTATGCTACTCAAGATTCATTCCTCCCTTGTCAGTTCTCCAACCCCAGTGAAAATGCACAGACACAAAACTGCTTGAAGTTTGACAAATGTAATTGCGTGGGGATAGCTGCTTGAATAAAGATTACACATCACAAAATAGGAGGGCTGTTTTTTGAAGGAAGGGTGGGCAGAGGGGTATAATCAGGAGGTCATTTAACAATGCAAAGGGATTTCTGTTTGTCATGTGGGGGGTTGATTTTTTGTTCTTGGTAATAATCCCGAAAGTTTTTAGTTTGGATGAGTGGTATTAGTATGCTTCTTTCTTGCCTAGAATGTTACTATAGATACTAATATGTAGAAGATACCCCCTTTATGCCAAACCAGTTCATCCACCACAGAGGAAATCCCTTTCATTAATCATGAAAAATAAAGTGGGGGAGTGTTTCATGGTTCTTTAAAGTCAAGATACCACATTGAAAGTATGCAGGAAGCAGTAGTAGTGATGAGGAACAATCTTAGCTCTTTGTGGAAAGTGACAAGGAGTTGTTTCAAAATAAGTGCCTTTTTTGCAAGAAAAAAGTCTTCCAGGAATGGAACTTGGGTAAGGAGTCTAGGAGACATAGGAATAGAACATGAGAAAATCAGGTCCACACTCCATCACTAACACTAAAGTATATCCAAGGAAAGCAGAAAGAATTACCAGTGGCTGCTGCCCATCACATGGGCTGAGGAGATGCATCCTGACAATGAAGCAAAAAAGTCCTGACAGACCCACCTGGAATCCTGCATGGCTTCATAATTCTGCCTTAGGCAGAGTTATTCTTAAGGCATTTAGACAAAAATCCAATGAAAACCACATTCAAATGCAGTTTTGACTTCTTTCCATTGTGACTAAAATGGAGGCAGAGCAAACATAATCCCCTTTTTATATAATGCTCTTGTTCTTTGCTGCACCGTGAAGGTATTTTCCCCTTCTTTGATTTTTACTTATTTGTTTATTTATTTAATTTAGTGACAAGGTCTTGCTCTGTGACCCAGCCTGGAGTACAGTGGGACAATCATAGCTCACTGCAGCCTCGAACTCGTGGGCTGAAGCAATCCTCCTACTTCAACCTCCTAAGTAGCTGGGACTATAGGACTACATCACTATGACTGTCTAATGTCATGCCCCTTCTTATGTTCACAATTTTTATTCCAAAGAGCCTAGTTTGTTTATAGCTCTATATATTTTCTTAGTGAAATTATTCAATCACACTTTTGTAGGCTAAGATGTGTGTGTGTGTGTGTGTGTGTGTGTGTGTATGTGTGTATTTACTTAAGTGCCTACAAAACCCAAGCAAGTGAGATAAATGGAAGACATTGGCAGTTTATGAATCAGTAAAGTGGTGGAAACCATGCACACTGAAGTGCCAATACTCCATCCAAATGGAGCTGCCACTGTTCAGTTCCAGTCAGAATTGCCAGAAGAAATGGAAATAAGAATTGCAGAATAAAATGTTCTAATTTTTAAAATGCAAAGGAGGCCAAACCAAGTAGGCATCCAGGCCACAAGGTTGCAATTTTTGCACACTATATAAAATATCTACCATACATGACATTTCCAATTTTTTTGTGTTAAGTTTCTCAAGTGAGTTTATTTATTGTCAAGCATAACGAAGCTGTGAAAATGAATGCTGTCACATTCACAAAGTACTGATTCATATACTAATCCCTTATCAGTCTTATAATGGCCCCTATAAATTAGAAGCTATTGAATGATGGAATTTTGTCCAGCATATTAAGAGAAACCATAGAGGTAATTTTACTATTTATAGTATCTGAGTACAAATTTAATTGTGCCATTCATAGCTAGTAGGTGTCAGTATGCCTCTGTGGATCTTTCTTATTTGCTGACTGCTGTCTGAAAAAAAAGTATTTTAATATATTTCCTAAGATTTTACAACATGTGTTATATTCATTGGTGTTTATAAGAGATCTAGTAATTACTTTTGTTATCAACTTTGAGGTAAACTCTTGCCCCTTTTTAAGATTATACTTATAATCAATAAAGTAACCTTTATTTGATAAACATGATGCTACCTTCTCATTGCACATAGTATATATGTATATATTATAGAGGAAATATATAATATATTTTCCTATCCGATACAAATTTTATGTCTGAGATCCCTATAACAAATGACAGATTAACAATAGAAAGGCATAAATATTTATTTCATACAAATTCTATGTGACATGGGAGCCTTTAGAAATGAAAGCTCAAAAGAAACAGGGAAAATTGTATATTTTATGCTAAATCAAATAAAGAAGTGGATAGTTGTGCAGAAACATTACTGGACAAAAACAGATATGATCTAAAGGGCATAAATGGGGGAACTCAGAGAGGCCTGCTAGTTCAGATTCTTCTCCATGTCTCTGTGTCTTCAGAGATAAAGACATTGTTTTTCTCCAGGCACAGGGAGGACATCCCTTGGTTGAGGGCCTTATGACCTATTTTCAGTGGAAGGTCAACTAGGTTTTATGGCCCACTGCAGGGGAAAAGGAGCGAAGGAAATTCTCTATAGTTTCCATGGCCTGATTCAGGAGAGAAGGGGTGCAGAAGAAGGTCAGAAAGATCTTCTTGCTTCTGTGGTCTTCTCAATTTCCTTCAGTTTAAAATCCTCAGTATGCCAAGTTGCTGCATATATGTGTATATGTGTGTGTATTTATTTAATTATACTAACATTTGAAAAACATTGGAAAGTAAAAGAAGAAAACTACCACCCAAATCCACTCATCCAAACAGGCCTTGCCAATATGTTGGAAAATTGTTTTACAAGTCAATTCTCTATGAATAAAGTTTTTTTTTTTTTTGCTTATAATTTGACATTGTATTATTACTACTATTTTTGTGATAGTTACTACACCCAGAAGTGAATTATGAGGTTATAAGTTGGACAAGTTTGGTTGTTGATATCAAATCTCTCATTACTTGGAAAAGTAAAATATATCATTTATATTCTACTTCTGGTAGTGACAAAGTTGACCATTTTGTAGGTAATAATTATTACTATTGGACAAAATATTAAATAAGCAAATATGTGAAGTAGTAGGATGCTACTGAAAGGAGGCAGAAAGTGTGACGATATGGCCAATAAGAGACGAAATTGAGGCTGGGTGAGGTGGCTCACGCCTGTAATCCCAGCGCTTTGAGAGGCCGAGGTGGGCGAATACCCTGAGGTTCAACACCAGCCTGGCCAACATGGTGAAACCCCATCTCTCGTAAAAATACAAAAAATTAGCTGGGCGTAGTGGTGCGTGCCTGTCGTCCCAGCTACTTGGGAGGCTGAGGCAAGAGCAACGCTTGAACCTGGGAAGGGGAGATTGCAGTGAGCTGAGATCATGCTATTGCACTCCAGCCTGGGCGACAATAGCAAAACTCTGTCTAAATAAATAAATAAATAAATAAATAAATAAATAAATAAATTGAATTGAATTGGATGAGATCTAAGATTTTGTGGCTTTTCCCCTGTGGAAACTTCCCAGTTTTTAGCACAGAAAGTCCAACATCCAGGAAGTCCTTCCATCCCAAAAATGCAGGATGGTTAGAATCAGCAGAAGGCAGCAATCTTATTGGCTTGAGGTTTAAGAGGAAACTTTGGGGCTACCAGAGCTGCTCACTTGAGCAGGAAAATCACAGATAGAAGTATAAGACTTCACATCTGTATGTAAACTTCCTTTAAATTTTGTTTGCTTTTGTGTGGAAAAGGAGAAAAGACTTCAAGAAGCCCAGATGAAAGCAAAAATTGAGAGACTTAAAAAGTTGAGCAAATATTTCAGCTGCCACTCACTGCAGGAGACACAGAGTTTGAAGTTTGAATTCCAATAAGTGAGGGGGTCTTCATAAACCTCTCTGACATTCCTTCAAAACCCTAGAAGGACCATAACTTTTCTCTGTTCTATAACAATGGATTTACTCTAAGGACGAAAATGAGATTGACCAACCTGAAAGAGTATAAAATGAATCCTCCCCAAGATTAATTTATCGATAATTTAACTCATAATATTGATAATAAAAATCAACAGGAATCAATCAGAAGAATATAACAAATCAGAATGTCATTGATATACAAAATGTCCTGTACATTGTTTAAAAAAGTCACAAAACAGTATAAGATAATAGGATAAATATATATACATATACATATATATTTGTATATGTGGGTATGTATTTTTTTAATACAGTCAATAGAAACAGGCAAAACCTGAGAAGTTCCAGATACTGCAGTTGGCAGATAAGGATATTCAAGCAGCCACTATAAAGTAGTTAAAGAACTTAAAGAAAAATTTGGTAATGATATTTTTATGGTCAAATAAGTTAGCAGTAGTGAATCTCAGCAGATAAATGGAAATTATTATTATTATTATTTTTGTTATTATTACAGAGTCTTGCTGTGTCACCCAAACTGGAGTGCACTGCACTGGAGTGCAGTGGCATGATCTTGGCTCACTGTAACCTTCTCCTTCCAAGTTCAAGTGATTCTCCTGTCTCTGCCTCCCAAGCATCTGGGACTATTAGTGCATGCCACCATGCCCGGCTAATTTTTGTATTTTTAGTAGACACGGGATTTCATCATCTTGGCCAGGCTGGTCTTGAACCCCTGACCTCAGGTGATCTGCCGGCCTTAGCCTCCCAAAGTGCTGGGATTATAGGATTGAGCCACTGAGACTGGCTGGAATGTTTTTTTTTTTTAAGCAAAATAGAAATTGCAGAACTGAAATTTATAAGGCCTGAAAGGAACAAGTCACTGCATAAGTTTTCATAGCAGGTTGGCAATTACAGAATAGCAGTTGAAGAAAGATCAGCAAAACTTGAAGACAGATTAATAAAAATTATCCAATTAAAAAAATATGAAAAACAAAAATAAAAGAGATACTGGCTGTGAGATAGCATCAAACATCCTAATAAAGTTGTGTAGAGGGAGAAGAAAGGAAGAATTAAACAGAAAAATATTCAACGTAATAATGGGCAAAATTTTCCCCAAATTGCTGGAAAATATTAACATATAGATCCAAGAAGCTTAGTAGACCCAAAGCAGAGTAAACACTGTAAAATCAACATGTAGGGACTTTATAGTCACACATCCAGAAACTAAAGATACATTGAAATTTTGGAAAGTACCCAGAGAAACATGAACCATTACAATTGCTAGAGAGGCCAATAATATAGTGACTTACCAAAACAAGTGAGCCCTGGAAATAGTGAATGACAACTTCTTTTTTCTTTTTTTTCTTTTCTTTTCTTTTCTTTCTTTTCTTTCCTTTTCTCTTCTCTTCTCTTTCTTTCTTTCCTTCTTTCTTTCTCTCTCTCTCTCTCTCTTTCTTTCTTTCTTTCTTTCTTTCTTCTTTCTTTCTTTCTTTCTTTTTTTTCTTTCTTTCTCTTTCTTTTTTTGTCTTGCTATGTTTTCCAGGCTGGAGCACAGTGGCTATTCTTAGGCACAATCATTGCCCACTACGGCTTGGAACTCCAGGGCTCAAGCGATTGTGCCTCAGTTTCCCGAGTAGTAGTGATGACAGGCATGCACCACCATGCCGGCTTTTTGGATGACAACATCTTTAAAGTGCTGAAATAAAATGTATACATAGAATTCTATAACTAGTAAATAAATCCTTCAAAAATAAAAGCAAAATAAAGACATTTTCAAATAAATGAAGGCTGAGAGAATCTGTCACCAGTGAAACTGAACTAAAAATAATGCTACAGAAATTCTTTATGCTGAAAGTGAGACCAGATGGAAACCCAGATCTAGAAAAAGGAGTGAGGAGCACTGAAAATGGTTAATATGTGAGAAAACAGAAAAAGAGGATATATTTTATCTTGATATCTTTAAAAGCCACCTGACTTTTTAATGCAAAAACCGTAACAGTGCATTTTTGAGTTTATAACACATATAAAATATATGTTAACAATAGCACAAAGTAGTGCCACAGGATGAAATTACAATGAATTTAAAGATGTCAATTGGTTTTATTGTGATTCTAGAATTAGGCAATGCTTCATTTCATGAAGTAGAATCTGTTCCAATGAGAAGAGATTGGTTTCATAGAGAGGGGCTGAAGGAAGCAGAAGTGAACAATGAGTCCGTAGTCCTTTCAAAGTTTACTTTTCTTGTAAGGTGGGGACAGGGGGAAAAACAATAGAAAAATAACATTATTTAACATCAGATTACTTGAAGCTAACTCTTTTGTTTTGTTTTATTTTTTAGAGACAAGGTCTAACTTTATTGTCCAGGCTGCAGTGTAGTGGTATAATCATAACTCACTGCAGCCTAGAACTCCTGGGCTCAGTTGATCCTCCCACTTCAGCCTCCCAAGTAGCTGGGACTACAGGTATGCACCACCACACCTGGCTAATTTTTATTTTTCTTTAAAGAGATTCAGCCTCACTATGCTGCCCAGGCTGGTGTCATACTCCTGGCCTCAAGCAATTATTTTGCCTAAGCCTCCCAAAGTGCTGGAATTACAGACATGAGCCAGTACACCCTGCCTTGGTTACCTTTTTGTGTGTGTAAAGATTAAAGTAGAGAAAATGTCATTAACTTGTCACCTGAAGATTTCAATTGGCCTCTTTGAGAAGTTGGCTGTTATCTGTCTCTTCTCATTTCTCTAAAGGTCAGATAACAACTTAGTTTAGGTTTGGTAATCTGGAACTTTAGCATAAATTACTCCAATTTGATTTTTATTCTGGTCTGTTAGGGCCTAGTGTAAGAGCTTAGCCCAAAATAATAGCCTCCTATAATTTGTACTTATTAACATTTTCTGGAGTTGGAGATAAATAAAATTCTACTAAGTTTCTTGCTTATCTCATGAAGTGATATAATAGTAACTATAAATAGACTTTGATACATTAAATATGAAAATGGCAATCCTGAAAGTACCAATAAAAATAATACAAAAAAGATATATTTAAAAACACAGAAATTAAAACACAAAAACTAAAAAATAATTTAATATATGAAAAAGAAGGCAGAAAGTACAGAGCAGAGGAGGAAAATAATGGGACAAACAAAATCCAAATAGCAAAATTGTGGCTGAAAGTAGATATGAATCTAAGGGGTATTATGAAAGATAATGAGAGGTTTATTATAATGATAAGAAGATTAACTCACCAAGGAGACATACAAATTATAAGAAATTATATGTCTGATCATAGAGCTTCAAAGTAAATGTAGTAAAAGCAGTGAGAGCAGGAGAAATAGACAAATCCCATAATCATACTTGGAATTATTAACAGAAGTTTTCTGACTTGACATGTATAGAATACTACATCCAATAATTGCAGAGTAAACTATAAAATGTGCATTATTTTCAACTTCTTACAAAATAAGCCTCATGATTTGGCTCTCTACTTGTCTGTTATTGGTGTATAGGAATGCTTGTGATTTTTGCACATTGATTTTGTATCCTGAGACTTTGCTGAAGTTGCTTATCAGCTTAAGAAGATTTTGGGCTGAGACGATGGGATTTTTTAAATATAAAATCATGTCATCTGCAAACAGAGACAATTTGACTTCCTCTCTTCCTATTTGAATACAATTTATTTCTTTCTCTTGCCTGATTGCCCTGGCCAGAACTTCCAGTACTATGTTGAATAAGAGTGGTGAGAGAGGGCATCCTTGTCTTGTGCCGGTTTTCAAAGGGAATGCTTTCAGTTTTTGCTTTTTATACTCACTATAATAGTCACAATGAACAAAACTGGTAACACCAATTTTATTTTGAGGATATAGAGCAACAAAAACTGAAATACTTCTGGTGAAAATGTAAAATGGTACAACAAATTGCAAAATATGTTGGAGCTTCTAGCAATGTTAATCACTCATTTATCATAAAACTAAGTGATTCTACTTCAAGATATTTATTTTTTAAGTCAAAATACATATCTCTAATAAAGCCCTTCTAATAAAGATTTGTATAGATATATTCAAACTGGAAATGTCATCAACAGGAAACCAAATAATCAGATTCCAGGATACGTATACAATGGAATACCATTCAGCAATAACCTTATGAAAAACTCATTAATATTACACATTCAATCTCATTGTTCAATATCAAAAATATTATGTTAAACAAAGAACAAAAACAGTACATATTGCCTAATTCCATTTATATAATCTTCAAGAATAGCAAAATAAGTCTATGTGATTAAAATCAGCACAAAAGTTGCCTATAATAGGTAGCAATTCACTGGTTGAGGCACAGGAGAAATTTATTGAGTGAAGTAATATTCCACATTTTTATAGGAAGTTATAAATAGGTTTAAATACTTATAAACTAATTGAATTATACACTTAAGATCTAAGCATTTTCACTATGTGTCAATTTAGTCTTGATTACAAATTTGATTAATAAATATTATCTTAATCATTAAGCATTTTTTCTATGCCAGACTGAGTGCTAGGTGACAGATCTTATTTGATCCTTATTTAAAAATTCCTACAAAGCAGATACTATTATTATTAAAGTTTACTATAGAGAAGATTAAAGTTTATGAAGGTTAAATTGCTTGCCCATAGAATTCATATAGTTCATGGTAGAGCAAGTTTTAAACCTGGAAAATCTGATTTTAAAATTTGCACACTTAAGCATAAATGTATACAGTGTTTTAATAATATGATTGTAATAAATAGCATTTTTATCAATTCACTTCTCTAATCATTAGCTATAACAAAACTTTAGTGAAAAGATGCTATGATACAGAAAGTATGTAATTCAGAGTCAGGAATCTTGATTCTGTCATTAACTCTGTGATGTTGAAAAAATTACTGCATTTTTCAGATATGATTTTCTCATCAATACAATGAGGGAATGGTATAGGAGATAGACACAAACCTTAAAGTTATAGCATTCACTGACCATGAGACAAAATATCTATAACTCCTCCAGATAAATTAGCTTGTTTAATTAGACCATGACATTAATGGGGTCAATGTCCATGTTATTTCACTAAAAGAAAAACTGGAAAAAATGCTTTGCTTACTCATCTTAAGCTTAGTGTTCTTAAATTTCATAGGAGAGTCAAAGTACTTCCCCATGGCTCAGGAGAATACTAGATGAGCCAGATTGAGAGGTCGACTCATTTTTTCCATGCTTTGAGCTTGGGCTGCCCTCATGATTTGCTTTGTTCAAGAGAATATACAGATATGTAAGTTCTGAAGTCTGGGCCTCCAAGGGCATTGCCTCTTCCATCTTTGTTCTCATGCTCCTGCCATCATGTGAGAATGTTAGTCTTCTGTTACTTGTCTTCAATGCAGCACCTACAGCAGGGCCTGGCACAAACTGCATATGCTCACTGAATATTTGTCGAAGTCTAAAAGTTGACCCATAAAATATACTCCAGAAATATTGTCCATATACATTTGAAACAAATGTGTGAATGCCAATTTGACTATTCTTTTGAAATCACCAGGTTTATCATTTTTTAAAATGCCAAAAATATAGTCTGAAAACTCCTAGCCACTCTCAATATTTTACTTAGTATGGCACACAATGTAAAAACTTGATCAATGCTGTGAATTACCTTGTAATGATTCTAAGATGTTCTGGGCAATCACTACACACTTAAGCAAATTTTTCCCAGGCTATCATCTTATTGCTAATGATATTCCTCTGAAGGACTTCCTTGTAGACATCTGAGTCACAGAAGTGCCTGTGGGATGGACAGGCACTGGAATTGTAGTGTGAATTACCTTTCTAATGGCTTGATACTGTATCAAACCTAATCACTTTTTTTGTTAACTAATTTTTTTTATTCATCCATGGACTATCTTATAATACAATTCAAAACCACCCCAACCTAGCCAATAATTTAAAAATACTTTCCTAAGAGTAATATAATGTAAAATAAAAGTAAAGTAATATATAATACAAATATATTTCCAACTTGTAAACACCAAGGCATGACTATCATAAAAGATATAAAGAAATCAATATTTTTTAAAAATAATAGGTTTATGCTTTACAGCAGTCTTTTGTTCACCGTAAAACTGACCAGCAAGTAAATAGTTCCCACATACCCCTTTTTCTTTCTTTCTCTTTCACAGGTAGCCTCCTCAACCATTAAGAGTCTGCACCGGTGTGATACATTTGTTACAACTGAGGAACCAACATTGACATATTATTTATTTATTTAGAGACAGAGTCTCGCTCTGCCACCCAGGCTGGAGGGGAGTCTTGCAATCTCTGCTTACTACAACCTCCACCTCCTGGGTTTGAGCGATTCTCCTGCCTCAGCCTCCCAAGTAGCTAGGATTACAGGTGCCTGCCACCACACCCAACAATTGTTTGTATTTTTAGAGAGACAGCGTTTCGCCATGTTGGCTAGGCTGGTCTCAAACTCCTGGCCTCAAGTGATTTGCCCCCCTCAGCCTCGCAAAATGTTGGGATTACAGGCGTGAGCCACTGCGCCCAGCCAACGTATTATTATTATTATTATTATTATTTGAGACTGAGTCTCGCTCCGTTTCCTAGGCTGGAGTGTGGTGGCTGAAATCGGCTCACTGCAACCTCTGTCGCCAGGCTAATTTTTATATTTTTAGTAGAGATGGGGTTTCACCGTGTTGTCCAGGTTGGTCTTGAACTTTTGACCTCAGATGATCCGCCCGCCTCAGCCTCCCAAAGTGCTGGAATTACAGGTGTGAGCCACTGTGCCCAGCCCATATCATTATTAACCAAAGTCGATAGTTTACATTAGGGTTCACTCTTTGTGTTGTATGTTCTATGGATTTTGACAAATGTATAATGGCATATAGTCACGATTACAGTATCATAAGAGGTGTTTCACTGTCATAAAAATCCTTTGTGCTCTACTTATTCATTCCTTTCTCCCCACAAAACTCCCGCAGTCCCTGATCTTTCACTGTCTCTGTAGTTTTGCCTTTTCCAGAAAGTCATATAGTTGGAATCCTACAGATGGGCGTCTTTTTCTTAGCAAAATGTGTTTCCTCCATGCCTTTTTGCTGCATGATAGCTCATTTCTTTTTAGCACTGAATACTATTTCATCATATGGATGTACTGCAGGTTACTTATCCATTCACATACTGAAGAATATTTTGTTTTTTCCAACTTTTGGCAATTATGAATAAAGTTAGTTTAAAAATGATGTGCAGGTTTGTGTGGACATAAATTTCAACTCATTTGGGTAAATGCTGAGGAACACAGTTTCTGGATGATATACTAACAGTACGTTTTGTTGTATAAGAATCTGTCAAACTCTCTTCCAAAGTCTCTGTGCCAGTTTTCATTCCCACCGGCAAAGAATGTGAATTCTTGCAGCTCCACGTCCTTACCAGCCTTTCTTCGGGTTGTCAGGGTTTTGGATTTCGATTTTCACCATTCTAATAGGAGTGATAGTATCTTATTCTGTTTTTAGTGTGCACATTCCTAATGGTGTTGAGCATCTTTTTAAATGCTTACTTGGAATTTGTACACCTTCACTGGTGAGGTGTCTGTTAAGATTTTTTGCCCATTTTTTTTCAGTCTGATTGAAGAGAAGGGAAAAGAGAAAGGAAAAGAACAGAAAAGACAAGATTGACAAGAAAAGAACTTAAGACACTATGTAAGAATTGTGTGGAAGACAGTGTGGCGATTCCTCAAGGATCTAGAACTAGAAATACCATTTGACCCAGCCATCCCATTACTGGGTATGTACCCAAAGGATTATAAATCATGCTGCTATAAAGACACATGCACACGTACATTTATTGCAGCACTATTCACAATAACAAAGACTTGGCACCAATCCAAATGTCCATCAATGATAGACTGGATTAAGAAAATGTGGCACATATACACCATGGAATACTATGCAGCCATGAAAAAGGATGAGTTAATGTCCTCTGTAGGGACATGGATGAAGCTGGAAACCGTCATTCTCAGCAAGCTATCGCAAGGACAAAAAAAACCAACAACGCATGTTCTCACTCATAGGTGGGAATTGAACAATGAGAACACTTGGACATAGGAAGGGGAACATCACACACTGGGGCCTGTTGTGGGGTGGGGAGAGGGGCAGGGATAGCATTAGGAGATATACCTAATGTAAATGACAAGTTAATGGGTGCAGCACACCAACATGACACATGTGTACATATGTAACAAACCTGCATGTTGTGCACATGTACCCTAGAACTTAAAGTATAATAAAAAAAGAAAGAAACATAAAACACACATACACACACACAAAAACATTGTGTCAGTGGGGATAGGAGCAGGTAAGACTAAAAGTAAGCAAAAACCAACAACAAAATTATATTTAAATAGAATTTTAGCATGTAACTTTAGTGATGCATATCTTTTGTTTTTGGGGGGTCCACAAAAATTAACTGTGTGAGAAAGTATAAAACAATTTTAAGACAAAAAAATATTGCTAAAGTCTAATAAGACTGAAATGTTGCATTTGTCACTACTAACTTAATAATTGGATCTAATTTTCTTTTAGGGGATCGATGTCATATTTGCAACGATGCAATTAGTTTCCTTTTTCAGTTATTGCACTATTGTGCTGCAATATTGCCAAGTAAATATGGAGTTAGAAATGTTATATTGTAAATTGTCTTCAGCATTAAGAATATGCCCCATGAACAAATTTTCTACATCATATCTTCTTTCCATTAAGTTTCCATCTCAATAATTTTTTTTTGTTGTTTGTTTGTTTAATAGCTAGCTTTTCATGTAACCTAAAAGATTATAGTTTTTTGCTTTTTTAGAGATAAGGTCTCACTCTGTTGCCCAGGCTGTAGCTGGAGTGCAGTGGTGCGATCATGGTTCACTGCAGCCTTGACATCCCGGGCTCAAACAATCCTCCCTCCTGACCTCCCAAGTAGCTAGGACTACGGGCATGTGCCACCACACTGTGCTAATTTTTAAATTTTTTTCTGGAGAGGAGGTCTCCCTATGTTGCCCAGGCTGTTCTCAAACTTCTGGTCTCAAGTAATCCTCTCATCTTGCCCTCCCAATGTTCTAGGATCACAAACATGAGCCACCATGCCCAGATGAGATTCTAGTATTAAGAAATATGATTTATATTGTTAAAGCAAAGTAAACATGGCCTGAGAAGGACTCCATACTTCCATATTTGAGTCCTTGTGGATGAACTGTGAAACCTAGTTTAATAGTCAGATAAAACTGAAAACCTAACTTAATAGTGTGCACCTATAACAATAGTCGAGTGTTGGGCAATCCCAGCAGCCATACTTCAACCACTCATAGTCTTCTGAGCGTTCAGACTGCATTCAAATATGGCAAACACTGAGCTGTAACCAGTCTCGCTGTTTCTGTGCCTCATGTTGATTCCTGTACGTCACTTTACCTTTTTTGTCTATAAATACGTTCTGACCACCAGGCACCCCTGGAGTCTCTGTGAATCTGCTGTGATTCTGGGGGCTGCCGGATTCACAAATCATTCATTCCTCCTTTAAACTCCTTTAAACTTAATTCGACTGAAGTTTTTCTTTTATCAACATATATAGTAGTTTAGTTTTGTGGGATGAAGAATGACTCTTCATAAGGTTGTATCATTTAGCACACAGCAGCATATATAGAGGCATTCAAATGGTTGTAATAGCCAGAATCATCCCACACATTTCCAAAATTGCCCCTTTGAAAAATACTCGCTGAGGATTATAATATCAGTTTTACTCCCTTTTTTTTTTTTTTTTTTCAGTATACTCTGCAAAGGAGGTCTGAAACTCTTTGTATTTTATCAGCTTTGGGACCTCAGCCAGTTTCAAGGCAGATGATTGCTCATATAATATTAACTAGCAAATCAAGGCATAAACCTGGAGTCATCTTTGATAACTCTTTCCTTCATCCTTCACATTCAAACACAGTCTTCTCAATTATTGTTTTTAAATTTAACTTTAATCCATACTACTCTCCTTCCCTCTGCAAATCCCCTAATATGGATCCTCGTCATTTTTTCACCTATTATTGTTCAATATCCTTATATATTGACCACATATCCATTGCTGCTCTTAGAATACTTAGTGTGATCTTGTAAAAACACAAATTGTATGAAATCACATACTTTGCTAAGCTAATTTAATACATCTTCTCTGCCATAGTAAGATAAAATTAAGGACTCTTAACATGCCCAAGTCCCGAATGAGCTAACCCTACCCATCTGTCTATTTTTAGACCTCTTTTGTAATGGCTTTCTCAGACCCATTTTGTAATGGCTTTCTAACCACACTGACACTTTACAGTACAAAAGGCTTTTCTAGGCCCTGGACCTTGGCTCACGCTGTTGTCTCTGCATTATAATGTTTTCCTATTTGCCTGGTTGTCTCCTACACACTATGCAGATGTCATCTGAAACATATTTTCTTCAGTGCAGCCTTCCCTCACCCACAAATTAGGTTACGTCTCCATTAAACATGCTTCATATCATCCTGGATTTATCATCATTTCAAATATAAATGATTATAATTCCATACTTAATTAAATGTTTATTTAATGCTTGTCTCTCCAGTTAAACCATACATTCTGCAAAAGATGGTCTAGTAGCATTTCCTTGGTGGCCTAATAGTTAAATGACTGCATGACTCATGTCCAAATCTCACTGCTTGTGTTTTCCCCAATTTCTTGATTTTCTGCTCTTATTTGCACATTAAATAAGTTTCAAGTTGATCATGTTTAAAAGATAATGGGAAAATATTGTACGATTTATGTGTAGTTATATCAAATAATCTTAACACATGGAACATTTTAAACCAAGGAACATTATATATCATAGGGTTATTATAAGTTTTGTAACAAAATAGTAGAAACTATTTTAATATTCAATTTCTAATAGAAAAATTTTTCAAACCTAGTTCTCCAAAAACCTGGGCAAACCAGTGTGCTTTCAAGTCAGGTTATCATTCATTTATTCATTCATTTATTCATTTTTATTCATTTATTTAACAAATACTGTTAATTATCATTAAGGTGTCAGACACTGCCAGGTGCTGGAGAATGCAGAGGTGAGTAAGTCATGACATTTGCCCTCAAGTCCCTTATAATTACATGAGAAAAGCAGTGTGGTGACAAATTTTTTAGGGTACTGCATTTTATAAAAATGATTTAAGAAGACGAAATATTTATTAGCATTCTAAGAGATTATTCATGGCAGATTGTGGGGATTAGACATTAAATAGAATTGCAACTAAAACTTTTAAAAAAAATTCTGGAGTCCATCAATATAATTCCTATAGAATTTGATAGTTTATCAACTTTCTTACTTTCTGCTCATTTTCCTTAATCAATATCAAATGGATTACTCAGTGTGAAAGTTATCAAATGTAATTCCAGACCTGAACGTGACCTTAGGAAAATGCCTGACCAAAGTTTCTCTGTGAATAAAAAATATATAAATTTGGCCCAGAGAGGATAAATGACTGATTGAAAATTACCCAGATGACTAATAACAGAATTAAGATAGGAAATGCAAATTCACTACCAGGCCTCATTTTGTCTTCACATCCACGTAAACAACTTCAATTTATAGTTTAAGACAAAGGTGAATATTATGGTCATAAAGTATTTGTGATTCAATTCTTCTTACTAAATACTCTGAAATACATAAAATTGTTTCTTGTTTATTTAATTCAGTCTTTAAAGGATGATATGCTTTTAGTTAAGTCATGATATTCAATTATTCAATGTAACAATATTCCATTTATCATTTTATAGTATTGGGGATGAAGAACAAAGGATTGCTTATTAGTGCAATGCATAGGGTGGGGCTTTCAGTTTGGGAGTTTTGCTTGGCTAAGAATTAAGTTTAATGATGGAATTGGTTTGAACCATTGAGCTGGTGGCATTCTTTTACTCATCTCTTCAGAAAGATAGCCTTCATTTTATTTTCCTTTCTTGGAATGTTGATTGCATTACTTGGAATCTTACTCAAGTGACAACCATTTTATTTTAGCCAAATTTTAAACAGTACTTTACATACCTGAAGTGTACGAAAATATAAGTGGTGATTATAAGTTTTATTTTCATTTGAGAAAAATATGCTTGTTTCAACTAGGCTGGCATAAAGCATTTAGTATGAGCAAAAAAAAAAAAAAAACTAAAAAAAAAAAGAAAGAAAAGCAAAATGTTCCCTTTCAACACAAAAATTCATTTTTCCAAACATTTTTCATTTTCATTTAGACCATATTAGCCTTGTCATCTCCAGTTGCCTTACAGAGAACCCATTTAGTCATTTAGCATTTTATTTTAGACTTTTGGCTTCAGACTTTAAATGAATAAAAAATTGCTGGAGAATTCAAACTCCAATGTGATACATAGCTAATTGAATAGACTTTTTGAATAATAATTAACTTATGAGTACATAATTAAATTCAGGGACACATCTGACTTATTTTATGAAATATTCTTGAGTAAAATGCCATTTTTCTAGGGTATTTTTAGGAAGCTAAAAGCTTAAGTTGTGTTAAGATATAGATTAAGTAGCAAGGAAATAAAGATCTTTTTTTAAAGAAGGAGGTAGATAGTGTTAAAAACAGAGGGAAATATATGTGTCATTAAGACAATATTAAAATACTGAATGATGTAAAATATGTTGATAGTATATTGCTAAATAAGTAAGCAGGATTTAGAAGATATACCTTACATGATTTTAATTAAGTTACAGATTATAGATAGATGGATGATGCAGACATAAAGAACAGATGGATGGATGGGCGGATGGATAGATGGATGGATGGTAGACAGACTGACACTTAGAATAAATTGTAGCTGCTAGAATTACACAGATTGTTTGAATATTGGCTGAAAATTTACTAGTTCTAGGTTAATTAATTGTGTATTATAATTACATAAAGTCTCTCTGAGCCTTATTTTTCCCATTTGTAAAATGTAGGTAATACCAATAACTAGTTCGTAGGCTATTATGAATAAAATAAGGTAATTCTAGTCAAGTGCTTAGCATACTGGCAGGTACAAAACTAGCCATATCATAGCAGTAAGTGTTCACTTGTGTATTATTATTACCATCTATATGTATACATGTATAGGCATTTTATTTAATATGATTTATACATATATTTTTATATTACATATTTAATTGAGCCTCATTGTAAACATAAAATTTTAAATTTTAAATTTGATTGTTGTTTCAATAAACATTTATTAATCCCCAACTATGTGTAGGTTTGTGAGAGAGATACAGACATCTGCAGGTATTGTGATACTTATAAAGTTACAGAGGAAGGCAAGTTTAATTACAGTGGGTGAAAAGTGCAAACCAGAGAGGGTGAGTACAAATTCAAGAGTTAGATAGTGAAAGATCAAAGAAGAGAAGGTAGAGTCCAGGAGATTTTTCCCTTAATCTCTGCCATTGATTCCAAGAGGAAGCAGAGAATGAATTAAGTGAATTGTTTACTGCCTTATTATCTTCATTTCCCACACGCTGCTCACAATGTGAGCATTCTACCTAATTTAATGTCAGCATATATATTTAAATTTCATGGGTAATTTTGGTATTTTTAAGGTTATTTTAACCATTCTTAAAATTTAACTTACATGCAAAATTGAAAACCTATTATCCCCACAATTAAATAAAATGAATTGTAAAATGTATACTTTTTTCTCGAATACACCCATACATGATTGTTTGTTGAAGGAATCTTAGTGACAGATAATTCAATTCAATCTTTTTTATTATACTAAGAAACAGCTTGAATTCTGAAAACGCTAAATGATTTGCCAAAGACTACACAATATAAGCATGACAGAAGCAAGAAACAGCCTTCTGATTTTTCTCTAATACCATGCTTTGAGTACCTCTTCTTTGAAGCCATGCCTACTTTTTTCTCATAATTTTAAAGTTTCCCTCTTCTGGGACTATACTGCCTCATGGCAGATATCATTCAGATCCCTTTGTCTGCCTGTCTCTCTCATATTAACCTATACATGGAAGTGAAAAATAAGTATCTTTGAACCCCACAGAAAATTATATTTTTTGTATATTTAAATACCTCAGTCTGTAAATCTTCAAGCAGTAATATCAAAGATAACTTTAACATGTTAGTAATATTAAAAAACAATGTGCCGGGCACGGTGGTTCATACCTATAATCCCAGGACTTTGAGAGACTGAGGTGGGTGGATCACTTGAGGTTAGGAATTTGAGACCAGTCTGACCAACATGGTGAAAGCCTGCCTCTACTAAAAATACAAAATTAGCCGGGTTTGGTGGCACATGCCTGTAATTCCACCTACTTGGGAGGCTGAGGCAGAAGAATCACTTGAACCCAGGGGTGGAGGTTGCAGTGAGCTGAGATCCTGCCATTATACTCCAGCCTGGGCAACAAGAACGAAACTTTGTCTCAAAATAATAATAATAATAATAATAATAATAATAATAATAATAATAATAATGTGTTTCTGTGACTAGAGAGTTGTGTGTGTGTACATTTGTGTACATATGTGCATGTGTGTGTGAAACCTGAATACACTGTTAAAATTATTTTTTAAGAAATACTACTGCGTCAATATAGTTTCTCATCTTACTAAGGAAACTTCAAGCTTCTTAAAAATAGGGATTGTACCTTATAGTTTTTAACAATTTTTCATTGTGATAAGAATAGAATTCTCCTTCTTGTATTCAATATATTTTATCTGAGGTAGTCATATTGCCAGTTATGAGCAAATTATTCAATATGATACCTTGTTTGTGACCTCAACTATTCGCAAGCAATTGTTCCCTTTTACTTAAGAGTATTAAGCCAAAAAAAACCCACTAAATATTGTAATTAAATAAAAGTAATAACTATAGATAATGATACTCCTAATCAACCACCACTTATAAAAAGCAAGAATCAGAATGACTCTATATTATATTTAGACATTTTTCGGAAAAAAAGGAATATTGTGAAAATTGTTGCTCCTAGTGTTGCTGGACAAAATGATGGCAGAAAAAGATGAGCTCAGGGATTCAGTTTCCCAGTTTGAGTGCCAAATAACTAATCTGAAAGATTCTCTGAGTGCTCTAGAGGAGATCCTCATCTTCTATAGCCACAAGTCTGAGGTGACTGAAAATTACATGCAGCATCTCATACTGTGGCTGGCACAGTTACAACCCTTAAGAATCTACTAACCCTCCAGCCCTATGTCCTAATTATTTCACAGAGATGTGGGTCACCTTTTCCTTCTGCAAGATATCACACTGGTCCCTTATATTGATAATATATGCTGATTGGACCTAGAGTGCAAGAAGTAGCAACTATTCTGGACTTATTGGTAAGACATCTGCATGTAAAGAGTAGAAAATAAATCAGACAAAAATTCAGGGGCTTTCTACCTCAGCAAAATTTCTTGGGGTCCAATGATATAGGGCATGCTGAGATTAAAAAAAAAAAAAAAAGGAACAATGTCTAGGGACCTATTTGAATTTTTGAACATATTCTACATTTGGGTGTGTTACTCTGGTCAATTTACTAAGTAATCCAAAAAGGTGCTAGTTTTGAGTGGGACCCAGAACAAGAAAAGGCTCTGCAAGAGGTTCAGGCTGCTGTGAAAGATGTGTTACTGCTTCGACCTTATGATCTAGCAAATCCAGTAATGCTTGAAGTGTCAATGGCAATAGGGAGGCTGTTTTTTAGCAGGCCATTTGAGGCAAATTGCTGTGCATGCCCTTGGGGTTTTGGAAACAGGTAACTAATCTGGTTTCACAGGTTCATAGATGAAGAGGATCTTTGTCTCTGGAAGAATTATATGAATTATACTTGGAGTCTCACCTATATCTTATTTAGTAGTATTTAGAAGAGACTTTAGACTTTAGAGTTGATGCCAAAATGAGTTAAGACTTTTGGGATTGTTGAGATGAAATGAGGGTATTTTGCATGTGAGAAGGAGAGGTCTTGTAAGGGCCAGTGGTAAAATGTGATAGACCAAATGCATGTGACCTCTCAGAATTCATATGTTAAAGTTTGAATCCCCAATGTGATGGTATTAGGAAGTGGAAAGCTTTTTTAATTTTTTATATAAAGTTTTGATTATATTATACATATTGTTTTGTAGTTTTTAATTTTTTTGCCTTAAAAGCACTATTGCTTCATGACAAAATACAAATTTATCTTATTCTAGGTAAGTGCAGACTAATATCACAAGGAATGGATATATCATAATTTATTTAACTCCTCTTCCCCTAGGTTGTTTTCCATTTTTCACTATAGTAAACCTCCACAACACGGATATTTGAGTGTTGTCACACAAATATGCAAAGAAAAAAAATTGCAAGTAGTTGTTATTTGCAATCTTTCCAAAAGGTATTTTTTGCTATAATCAGAGATAAGGAATTAAGAAATTAAAATATGTTTAAAAAGAGGTAACAAGAGGTTAATAATAGTGCAGTAATTCTCAAATAATTTTTCTAAGCTATAAAGTTAAAAAACATTTAAATTTTATTTAAAAAGAATCCTTTTTTTTCCTGTAGCTGCCAATTTGTTATAAATCCTCTAAGGTGAAAGGAATAAAAGTTTAAAAATAGCCATTTTATATGTTATTTATTATTTATCCTTTACAAAGGAAAGAAAAGTGAAGGAAAAACATGCAGTAGGGAATTAGCTGGGGGATGCATTTAGTCAATTCTCCAACTTCTGAGATGTTGCTCTTCCTGAATTTTATTTTCTTCCTCTTTCTTTCTCATGTCTCACTTCTCAATATCATGTTCTTTAAAACATTAATTTTGTTTGCCACTCTAGATAAAAATAGAAATTTGAATATGCACATGAGAACTGGAACATTTTCTTAGTCTTGTACTACTAGTTGAGGTTCTTTTAGTTACAAGCTACAGTAACTAGCATGTACAGCAGTTTTATACTATTAATAATTGAGCCTCTTTGAGTTACAAACTCTTGTTGTCTTACCTAAAACAAAATATTAGAAGATCTTTTCTTTTTTAAGAGTTGGGGTCTCTTTCTGCTGCTCAGGCTGGTGTACAATAGTGTGATAATAGCCCACTACAGCCTCAAACTTCTGGGCTCAAGTGATCCTCCCACCTCAGCCTCCTGAATAGCTGGCACTACAGGTACACACCACCACACCTGGCCAATATATTTTTTTTATTCTTTTTTTGTATAGATGGGGGTCTTGTTATTTTCCCCAGGCTATTATTGAACTCTTGCCTTAAGCAATCCTCCCACCTCAGCCTGCCAAAGTGCTGGGGTTACAAGTGTGAGCCACCATGCTCGGCAGAAGACTCTTAATACATCTTATAGATATAAAGACTTGAATAACTAACAGCTAGAAAGAAAGGAAAACAGACCAGTTCTGGAAACCTCATAATGCTTGCTAGATCCCACTTTAATATGATACTTTCTATGGCTCCGTGTTGCTGTGTTTCTATTCTAAAAATCGAATTCCTGAAAAGTGAAATACATAAGACAATATGTCTAAGATATATGTCATTGTGAAATCAAGGCATTTGACCAAATGACTGGGTCATAGATACAGAAATAGTCACAGGCATAGACTTTTAATATCACCCGCCTCAGAGAAGGAATTGGAGAATGCTTTGTGCCAATCACTCGGTTAACTGATTCATATGCACTGTTTCATTTAAGCATCACAACTTAATGAAGTAGGGAATAGTGTTATATTTAATATAATAGTGAATAGAAAACTGAGGTTTAGACAGATTATATTGCCAAGACAGTAGTAGAGGTCGGCCAAGAAACTAAATCTTCATGATGTCAGACTGTGTCCCTCACCACTACTCCGTACTGTTAGAAGAAATTATTTCAGATCCTTTGCCACACACGCTATTACTCCTTTCCCTCTCCCTCTTCTGCCCTTTAAGTTGTTTCTACGGCTAGATCCTGAAGAAAAAACACTAGCCTAAAAACTGCCTGCATTTCTAATTTAATCCATTCACACCGTCTATGCATTAATAAACAAAAGTTGTAAGATTAAGTGAAATCATCAAGGTGTGGTTTTTTTTGTTTTGTTTTGTTTTTTTGAGACAGAGTCTTGCTCTGTCACCCAGGCTGGAGTGCAGTGGCACTTTCTCTGCTCATTGAAACCTCCACCTCCCGGATTCAAGCAATTCTCTGCCTCAGCCTCCCGAGTAGCTGGGACTACAGGTGCCCGCCACCACGCCCACCTAATTTTTTTGTATTTTTAGTAAAGATGGGGTTTCACCATCTTGACTAGGCTTACCTTGAATTCCTGACCTTCTGATCCACCTGCCTCAGCCTCCCAAAGTGCTGGAGTTACAGGCGTGAACCACTGTGCCTGGCCTTATCAAGGTATTTTTTTACTGCTAACTATATTTAGTACTTTAGATGTTTTGCTAGAAATTCTATAAATACTCTTTAGAAAGATACTTACGTGCTAAAGCGTTCAGCTTGATACTTAAGGGGTACCACACATTTTAATAGGGTATTATATTTTAACTCTCCAATCCATATAACAGAAAGACTGGTACACTTAAGATCTTTTACGTTTTGAGTTTTTTTTTTTTTATAAAATTGTATATTTCATTACTCTTTGACTTTGTGTCCTTTTGAATAGGTCTATGTTTGTATAACTACCTTCTCAGAATGTTTATCTTTATATAAAGATTAACAAGTGGCAAATATCATTGCTGCTTTATGTTGTTAGAGAATAGAAATAAGTACTAGAAAGATACATTTCAGAAGTGAAAACAAAAGGAAATTGGTCCAGTTCTGATTAGAGGCTTACTCCTATGAGGGCCTTCCTTTGTGTTTGGTCTAATATTCACAAATCTTTTAAAATCTAACTAGTTGTTTCTTATCTTTATTTTATGCATCAAAGGTGAGAAAAAACGGAGACTTATATATAATACATATTTTAATTTCCCAAAACTTTGTGGAATATCTTGAAGAAAATTAATTGAGTGAAATATTCTACTTGCTTCGTGTGCCTGCATTTAGACAGAGGTCTTCATCTGTCTCTCTCTCTCTCTCTCTCCTTTTCCTTTATTAAATGCAGTTATTGAAAGTAGGGTGATAAAAAATCTATATTAAATATCAATCAGAATGTGAGAAACAATACCACTCACTGGTAGGAGATTAGGGAGATTCGAGTGAACTGGATGTAGTTGAGTGGGTGGGCAGGAGTGGAAAACAATTACGTGTAATTCTCTGCTTTAGAAAAACCTGGCTATGCCAGTGTTATTTCTGAGAAATGTGTCTTCATACATTTTATAATATTTACTTTTTACTGATTACAAAAGGAACCCATGATCTAGGTGGAATATTTGGGAAATATAAGGAAAATAAAATTTAAAAATTTTATTATACACAAATCTTTGATTGTCACTCTACTCATTCCCATAGGATAATTTATTGTTACCAAATTATTGAGTCAAAGGACAAAAGCATTTTTATAATTCTCCATTTTTAAGCTGTACTGTCAAATTGCAACAATTTGGCAACTAGGTCTCAGAAAAGGCCTCTCCCAGGAGAATAGCGTGAACCTGGGAAGCAGAGCTTGCAGTCAGCCGAGGTGGCACCGCTGCACTTCAGCCTCGCGAGAGTGCGAGACTCCGTCTCAAAAAAAAAAAAACCAAAAGGCCTCTCCACAGTAGTATCTCCATTCTTGCATTTGCTTGCAATGCAGGGTTCACTGTCCTTTCTTACCTTTCCTTACTTAACTTTGTTTCAATTAATTCATTTCATCACACTATTGAACATTTACTGTGCATTAGGCAACAATCCCTAGGTATCCTGAAGACTGAGCAATGAATAAAACAAGGTAGTCATTTTCTTCTTTGGTCTAATTTTCTAGTTTGGGAGATAGATATTAAACAGAAAAACACATAGCAGTAAATAAATATGAGCTAAAGAATTATTATAAGAACTAAATAAACTAAGTTGTAATGAAAACTAGAACATGGTAGAAGACATGTTTACATTGAGGTTGGGCTCAGGAAAGGCCTTATTAAATGCTGAACAAATCCTGCTTTCTAATCCCTCATATATCTTGATAAATAATTGACTAATGCAACTTCCCTCAAATTTATCATAATACTTTTATGTCAAAAGAGATGAAGATCAAAAAATGAATAGCTTAGATTTTACTTGCCCAGTCACAGGAAAATATTTTTATAACTTATGGTTTCTTAAGCAAGACACATATCCAAAATTCATAAAGGAAAATGATGAGATAGAAATCTTCATGAAAAAAATGTAAAAGAAATCAACATCTAACTACAGACTATGAATTTTTTGCAAAATATTTAACACAAAAAGTCTGAAAATATTATTCTTCAAAGAGCTCCAATTAATTGACAAGTGTTTCTTTTTAATATAATGATAAAGGGATACACAAAGAATTTTAACTGAGAAGAATTGATAAAGGTCAATAAATATATGAAAAAAAGGCTCAAGTACACTAGTAACCAGGTATATGCATATTAAAACATCTACCATTATGCCCATCATATAGTTATAAATCCTTTCCTCAAGACCAAAAATATCTGTGGCAGACATTATTGCTTGCCTAACCACAACCAACTACATCGTTTCTAAAAACAACCAATTTTGTTCAGTTTTTTTCTCCTCTTAGTATACTCATACACTTTAGAATATGCTGGCCATAGATCCGAATCTGGGTTAAATCCTCATGAGTCATTCCCTTTCCCAGTAATTGGTTTAAGCATGGATTTTTGACATAATTCAGGGAAATAAGAGAGGAGAAATCTGCTAAAAAAAATTCTGCAGAAGATTTGAACACTCTTAAAAAACAGGTCAAGAGGCCCATTTCTGTCTCTGAATGGTGTCAGGCCTAGCATGGACACTAGGAAAAGCTGCAGCTGTCATCTTGAAATCACCTTGGAGAGCTCTATGAGAATAGAACAACAGGAGGAAAAATAGGCCACAGCACAGCCCTCTTCATCCTCTGAACTTTCTGTTACATGACAAAGTGAATTTTCTAATTTAAATAAACTTAAATTGACATTTTCTTTTATTTGCAACCCAAAGTAACCTGATACAATACCTCAAACAGTGGACGGTGATGTAAATTATTGCAACATTTTTGGATAATTATCAGCAAATAAATGTAAGTAAATTAAAGTGTTCATCTCTTTTGAACCAGCTACTAATACTAGGAATCTTAGGAATCTATCCAAATTAAATAGTGCATATAAATAGATAGATGAATATATCTATGTTATATATTTGATACATATATATATATTGCATATATATGGTCTAATTTCACACAACACATGCACACATCAGCCTCACTTGTAAAAGCAAAAAGAAAAAAAAAACAGAAATAAAACACTGGAAATAATAATAAATACCCTTGTATGGAAGTATATCTAAATAAACTTGAGGCACCGTGACATGTTTAAAATAGATAAGACAGATCTATAATATATAACTTGGAAAGACTTATTTTAATGTCAATGCAAATTTATTTATTTATTTATTCATAGTACAATTCCATTTTACCAAAGAATTATGTGTTGGAAGAGTTCTAAAATCATATTCTTAGGCATAAAGGAAAAATGATGATGGAATTTTGAACAGTGCTTAATATAAAAGGGACCTTAAAGATCATAGTTCCTGCCTTTTTATTTTATTAAGGCAGAAACTGAGTTCTGAAAGGGGTATGTGACTTGCCCAGTTCTCACAGGTAGAAAAGAATCCAACATTCTGAATTTTACATCTATATATCGCTAAGTTGCTCTGCATTTTGAGATATGTGAGATAAAATGGGAGTGACACACAATTGTCTTTTCAGTTAGTACAAATTAGAATAATACAATTTCAGAGTTTCAGAAAAGTCCTCCTCTACATTATGTGAGGCTTCTCATTTATTTAGGGGCAAAAACCTTAGTGCTTAAGACACTGAGGTTGCAGCGATGTTCACAATACTCAAAATTTGAAAGCAACCTGGCCCATCAGCAGATGAATGAATAAAGAAAATGCAGTACTTATACACAATAAAGTACTATTCAGCCATAAAAAAGAATAAGATCCAGTCATCTGCAACAACATGAATGGAACTGGAGGGCTTATGCTAAGTGAAATAAACCAGGCACAGAAAGACAAACATCACATATTTTCACTTATTTGTGGGATCTAAAATTCAAAACAATTCAACTCATGAAGATAGAGAGTAACAGGATGGTTACTAGGGAGGGTAGTAGGAGGTGGGGGAGAGGCAGGTATAGTTAATGGGTACAAGAAGTAGCTAGAAAGAATGAATAAGACCTACTATTTTATCACACAACATGGTAACTATAATCAATAATAACTTAATTGTGCATTTAAAAATAACTTAAAGAGTGTAATTGGATTGTTTGTAACTCAAAGGATAAATGCTTGAGGGGATGGAAACCTCATTCTTCATGATGTGCTTATTTCACTGTGAATGCCCATATCAAAATATTTCATGTATCCCATAAATATATGTACCTACTATGTACCCACACAAATTTAAAAAAAAAGGTAGTGGGTGTTGTAGTAAGAAATATTTGAGTTAGAATTCTGGATTTGCCATTTTTGGTTTGTAAATCTTGGCTAGGTTACTTAACCTGTCTCAGATTTGGCTTCCTGTACTACACAATGGGAATAATAGCTTAGAACTGTTTTAAAGGCCTAAAAAACATAAACATATGAAAATATTGGGATGTATTATTCTCCATTTTTATTTTGGCAAAATCTACCCAATCTTTTCAAGAAACGCACTTTGTAACCAAAGACTTGCTTCCAGTTTTCACTCTGCAGAGCAGTTTCTGAACAAACTAAGAAATGAAGACATGTTAGTCCCCTATATTTTTTATACTTTTCCCATCTTGACACCTGATTATCTGGTGCTCATCTGTACAGACAATTCAAGCAGAAATTGCAATAGACATTATCAAATATCCATGCCAATTGAGGTTAACAGGTGCCTGACATTACCAACAAACTTCATTAACTAAAGACTTTAGAGCACATATTTGGTCTGATGGTGGATAAGTGGCAAGGAGTCATTTTGTGTGTTAGTTTTCCAGTTCTACAAAGCTATCAATCTTTCCCAATTGATATTCCAGGAATTATTGAACCAAACATTCCAATTATTGAACCAAACCAAAAATATTTGCTTGTTTTACGTATTGTATATTTATTTAATCTATTAAGCACCTGCATGCCATTGTATTTTTGTTCATGTACTGGTAACAGGCAGAATTCTACATACCACTATTGTAGACCAGCAGTGCTACACCGTCTGCCTGCGTGCAGGCAAGTAGGGCAGAAGCAATGGACTCCAGCTCAGTCACTCCATACTACCATATTTGACCCAAAGATGAATGGTTGATTTAGAAATTAATCAAGGTGTTGAGTGTGGTTAGTATTGAGACTATTCATGAGAAATAACCTTGATGTGTTTGCTGTTGTCATCCTTCTTCATGTTGCTGAAAGCAAGTTGTGACTGGAAGAAATATCGGCACGTTATAGAATCCAATAGTGTTAGATCTTGATCAGCTCCTGATACACATCTAATCCAGCTCTCTCACTGTATGAATGTCATAGTATTCCTTGTGGCTTTATACAGGTAATCTAAATGTTTTGTGTTTTGACATTTATCATCCTTATGTGGGAAAAAATTATAATCCCATAAGTATACGTACAACTTACATAAAGTTTTGGAGGAAAGTGGTATGTGTGAATTAGCGTTGAAACTTCTAAAATCCTACAGGCAATCATAACAACATTATACGTTATTTTTCTCTCATTTTCACACTTAAGGAAAACTTAGTTCCATATGGAGTGTTAGATTCTTTTTATTACATTCCATTCAGAACATTCACCTGACTTTTCTCACCTTTTGGTCTTGTTCTTTTATGGAGACTAAGAATCTAAAAACAAACAAGTAGGATATGGGTCACATGATATTTGTAGAGAAACTTGAGTGAGACCTTCTTCTATAATTAAGGTGAAAATTCTTTGGCCTGATTAAAGAGAAGGTGAATCTAACTAGAATACCATTTTTTTAACCATTAGATGCCAGATTAATTTTGGGGGATTTAGAACAGGGGAAAAAAGCTACAAGTAAATATTAAAGGCAAAGGCTGTCTTTAATAGTATCCTCAAAGATCATGGGGGAAATTACATTTTATAAAATACTTTTTAAATATTTTATATACTATATATATTCAAAGTTTTATATATTTTATAGACTATATATATTTATATATTCAAAGTTTAAATATATATATATTTAAACTTTTGCTTCAGCTTACTTCTGCTCACTTCTGTCTAAGTCTGCTTTGCACTGCTATAACAGAATACTTGACACTGGGTAATTCATAATAAACACAAATTTGTTGGTTCATACTTCAGGAGTCTGGGAAGTTCAAGATCAAGACACCTGCATCTGGCTAAGACTTTCGTGATGTGCCATCACATGATGGAGGGCTGAAGGGCAAAAGCCCAAGAGGGGGTTGAACTTGTTTTTTTATGATGACATTAATCTATTCATGAGGGTTCTGCCCTCATGACCTAAACACCTCCTCTTAGGCCTCACTTTCCAACACTATTACGTTAGGGATTCAATTTCCAACACATGAATATCTGTGGGACACATTAAAACAATAGTAGCTTCTGTGCCCATTCTGCTACTCCATGATATATGCTAATATTCTATTAACACATCCTGGATTTTCTAATTACCATACCTTTTTAGAGACAGGTACAGAATAGAATAGAATAACTTGTAGCAGCATTTCCCAAAGTCCATTCCACAAAATCACTAGTCCTATGAGGTAGATCTTCGAGGGAGGGGAATAACCATCAAAATCAAATGAATTTGAAAAAAAAAATGTGTATAATGTTCCCCATTTAATGAAGAATCAAAATACAGTTTGTTTTACATCCTCTAAATCAGTAGTAAAGGAACCTGTTACCTGTGGTTGACAAGGTATTTCCAAAATTTGTTTGCCCCTGAAAACATGTTTGCAGAATTTGTGTAAAGTGAAATTGATTAGTTAATGAACTGAGCTTGGTTAAATATCTAGCCTAGGCTAGACACGGAGTGTTGAAGACATAGTGAGGTGGAGCTTGGTCATATGACATGTAATACAGAAAGGAGAAACATGAGTGTTTTTGACTTTAATGCTTTCTACTTCCCACAACTCTATTTTGGGGGCCTGATGACTTGACTCTTCTTGTGATTGATAATTTACAATGCAATGGTAGTGATATATTATCAAATAATATGGTTATAATTTATCAAACACATTTCATGGCTTCTGAAGGAAAAAATGATAGCTCAGATAGATAAAAGTATTGAGCCAATTTCAATGTTATTCCAAGTCCTTGGATGGTACCAGTAGGCAGGTCACATGTGTGCATGCACACACACACACACACACACACACAGATGTGCATCTACTCGCAATGAAACACAGTCTTAGATTTGGCTGGGGATCTAGCTATGTGAGAATCAAAATGCAAGCAATTCTTCTTCTGAACAGGTTTTTAAATGCAGTATATGCCAGAAATAAAATCCAGAGTTAGCCAAATTTTTCTTCATGTCAACTACACTGTAGGAGATAAATAGGTCATCATAGTAGCTAATGCCAGGAGTCCAAAATTATTCTCTTTTTTTATTACTTCTAAAATTTTGTTTGGGGTTTAATTTTTTAATTTATTTTCTTTCTTTTTTATTTCTTCTTCAATGCTTAAGGAGCAATAATATGTTTTAATTATTATAAATACCTATTTAAAACACAAGCATTACACAATTACCTATCATTTTTCATTAAATATTGAGTAGAAACAAAAGGAAATTTATAAAATATGTGTAAAGGATTAAGAATAAAGATATGGTGATGCTCTGTGGGCACAACACTCAGTGTAATTAAAAAATTATTAGCTTAAAATTCTTTGTGTGCCCAATCCCTTTCCCATCTCCTTCTCTCCATGTTCAGGGTACTCATCATATTGAGTTATTTATTTTTCCTTTGCTTCTACTTACTTATATATATTTTTATCTCTAAAAGTTTCCTGTTTTATTTGAAATATGCATCAATAGAATTAAGTTGTATATTCTTCTTCAGTTTTTCTTTTCGCTTGATTTACATCTTGCAGCTCATCCATGTCATTTCATATAGCTATTATTCAGTTGTTTTCTCTGCTGTAGAATAGTCTGTGGAATTAATATATCAAACATTACTTACCGGGGGGAGGAGCCAAGATGGCGGAATATGAACAGCTCCGGTCTACAGCTCCCAGCCTGAGCGACGCAGAAGACGGGTGATTTCTGCATTTCCATCTGAGGTACCGGGTTCATCTCACTAGGGAGTGCCAGACAGTGGGCGCAGGTCAGTGGGTGCGCGCACCATGCGCGAGCCGAAGCAGGGTGAGGCATTGCCTCACTCGGGAAGCTCAAGGGGTCAGGGAGTTCCCTTTCCTAATCAAAGAAAGGGGTGACGGACGGCACTTGGAGAATCGGGTCACTCCCACCCGAATATTGCGCTTTTCCGATGGGCTTAAAAAACGGCGCGCCACGAGATTATATCCGCACCTGGCTCGGAGGGTCCTACACCCACGGAGTCTCGCTGATTGCTAGCACAGCAGTCTGAGATCAAACTGCAAGGCGGCAGCGAGGCTGGGGGAGGGGCGCCCGCCATTGCCCAGGCTTGATTAGGTAAACAAAGCAGCCAGGAAGCGGGAACTGGGTGGAGCCCACCACAGCTCAAGGAGGCCTGCCTGCCTCTGTAGGCTCCACCTCTGGGGGCAGGGCACAGACAAACAAAAAGACAGCAGTAACCTCTGCAGACTTAAATGTCCCTGTCTGACAGCTTTGAAGAGAGCAGTTGTTCTCCCAGTATGCAGCTGGAGATCTGAGAATGGGTAGACTGCCTCCTCAAGTGGGTCCCTGACCCCTGACCCCCGATCAGCCTAACTGGGAGGCACCCTCCAGCAGGGGCACACTGACACCTCACACTGCAGGGTACTCCAGCAGACCTGCAGCTGAGGGTCCTGTCTGTTAGAAGGAAAACTAACAAACAGAAAGGACATCCACACCAAAAACCCGTCTGTACATCACCATCATCAAAGACCAAAAGTAGATAAAACCACAAAGATGGGGAAAAAACAACAGAAAAACTGGAAACTCTAAAAATCAGAGCACCTCTCCTCCTCCAAAGGAACGCAGCTCCTCACCAGCAACGGAACAAAGCTGGATGGAGAATGACTCTGACGAGCTGAGAGAAGAAGGCTTCAGACGATCAAATTACTCTGAGCTACGGGAGGACATTCAAACCAAAGGCAAAGAAGTTGAAAACTTTGAAAAAAATTTAGAAGAATGTATAACTAGAATAACCAATACAGAAAAGTGCTTAAAGGAGCTGATGGAGCTGAAAACCAAGGCTCGAGAACTACGTGAAGAATGCAGAAGCCTCAGGAGCCGATGCGATCAACTGGAAGAAAGTGTATCAGGAAAGGAAGATGAAATGAATGAAATGAAGTGAGAAGGAAAGTTTAGAGAAAAAAGAATAAAAAGAAACGAGCAAAGCCTCCAAGAAATATGGGACTGTGTGAAAACACCAAATCTACGTCTGATTGGTGCACCTGAAAGTGATGGGGAGAATGGAACCAAGTTGGAAAACACTCTGCAGGATATTATCCAGGAGAATTTCCCCAATCAAGCAAGGCAGGCCAACGTTCAGGTTCAGGAAATACAGAGAACGCCACAAAGATACTCCTCGAGAAGAGCAACTCCAAGACACATAATTGTCAGATTCACCAAAGTTGAAATGAAGGAAAAAATGTTAAGGGCAGCCAGAGAGAAAGGTCGGGTTACCCTCAAAGGGAAGCCCATCAGACTAACAGCGGATCTCTTGGCAGAAACCCTACAAGCCAGAAGAGAGTGGGGGCCAATATTCAACATTCTTAAAGAAAAGAATTTTCAACCCAAAATTTCATATCCAGCCAAACTAAGCTTCATAAGTGAAGGAGAAATAAAATTCTTTACAGAGAAGCAAATGCTGAGAGATTTTGTCACCACCAGGCCTGCCCTAAAAGAGCTCCTGAAGGAAGTGCTAAACATGGAAAGGAACAACTGGTACCAGCCACTGCAAAATCATGCCAAAATGTAACAACCATCGAGACTAGGAAGAAACTGCATCAACTAACGAGCAAAATAACCAGCTAACATCATAATGACAGGATCAAATTCACACAAAACACTATTAACTTTAAATGTAAATGGACTAAATGCTCCAATTAAAAGACACAGACTGGCAAATTGGATAAAGAGTCAAGACCCATCAGTGTGCTGTATTCAGGAAACCCATCTCATGTGCAGAGACACACATAGGCTCAAAATAAAAGGATAGAGGAAGATCTACCAAGCAAATGGAAAACAAAAAAAGGCAGGGGTTGCAATCCTAGTCTCTGATAAAACAGACTTTAAACCAACAAAGATCAAAGGAGAAAAAGAAGGCCATTACATAATGGTAAAGGGATCAATTCAACAAGAAGAGCTAACTATCCTAAATATATATGCACCCAATACAGGAGTACCCAGATTCATAAAGTAAGTCCTGAGTGACCTACAAAGAGACTTAGACTCCCACACATTAATAATGGGAGACGTTAACACCCCACTGTCAACATTAGACAGATCAACGAGACAGAAAGTCAACAAGGATATCCAGGAATTGAACTCAGCTCTGCACCAAGCGGACCCAATAGACATCTACAGAACTCTCCACCCAAATCAACAGAATATACATTTTTTTCAGCACCACACCACACCTATTCCAAAATTGACCACATACTTGGAAGTAAAGCTTTCCTCAGCAAATGTAAAAGAACAGAAATTATAACAAACTATCTCTCAGACCACAGTGCAATCAAACTAGAACTCAGGATTAAGAATCTCACTCAAAACCACTCAACTACATGAAAACTGAACAACCTGCTCCTGAATGACTACTGGGTACATAACGAAATGAAGGCAGAAATAAAGATGTTCTTTGAAAACAACGAGAACAAAGACACAACATACCAGAATCTCTGGGACGCATTCAAAGCAGTGTGTAGAGGGAAATTTATAGCACTAAATGCCCACAAGAGAAAGCAGGAAAGATCCAAAATTGACACCCTACCATCACAATTAAAAGAACTAAAAAAGCAAGACCAAACACATTCAAAAACTAGCAGAAGGCAAGAAATAACTAAAACCAGAGCAGAACTGAAGGAAATAGAGACACAAAAAACCCTTCAAAAAATTAATGTATCCAGGAGCTGGTTTTTTGAAAGGATCAACAAAATTGATAGACCGCTAGCAAGACTAATAAAGAAAAAAAGAGAGAAGAATCAAATAGACACAATAAAAAATGATAAAGGGGATATCACCACCGATCCCACAGAAATACAAACTACCATCAGAGAATACTATAAACACCTCTACGCAAATAAACTAGAAAATCTAGAAGAAATGGATAAATTCCTGGACACATACACTCTCCCAAGACTAAATCAGGAAGAAGTTGAATCTCTGAATAGACCAATAACAGGATCTGAAATTGTGGCAATAATCAATAGCTTACCAACCAAAAAGAGTCCAGGACCAGATGGATTCACAGCCGAATTCTACCAGAGGTACAAGGAGGAACTGGTACCATTCCTTCTAAAACTATTCCAATCAATAGAAAAAGAAGGAATCCTCCCTAACTCATTTTATGAGGCCAGCATCATTCTGATACCAAAGCCGGCAGAGACACAACCAAAAAGAGAATTTTAGACCAATATCCTTGATGAACATTGATGCAAAAATCCTCAATAAAATACTGGCAAACCGAATCCAGCAGCACATCAAAAAGCTTATCCACCATGATCAAGTGGGCTTCATCCCTGGGATGCAAGGCTGGTTCAATATACGCAAATCAATAAATGTAATCCAGCATATAAACAGAGCCAAAGACAAAAACCACATGATTATCTCAATAGATGCAGAAAAGGCCTTTGACACAATTCAACAACCCTTCATGCTAAAAACTCTCAATAAATTAGGTATTGATGGGACGTATTTCAAAATAATAAGAGCTATCTATGACAAACCCACAGCCAATATCATACTGAATGGGCAAAAACTGGAAGCATTCCCTTTGAAAACTGGCACAAGACAGGGATGCCCTCTCTCACTACTCCTATTCAACATAGTGTTGGAAGTTCTGGCCAGGGCAATTAGGCAGGAGAAAGAAATAAAGGGTATTCAATTAGGAAAAGAGGAAGTCAAATTGTCCCTGTTTGCAGATGACATGATTGTATATCTAGAAAACCCCATTGTCTCAGCCCAAAATCTCCTTAAGCTGATAAGCAACTTCAGCAAAGTCTCGAGATACAAAATCAATGTGCAAAAATCACAAGCATTCCTATACACCAACAACAGACAAACAGAGAGCCAAATTATGACTGAACTCCCATTCACAATTGCTTCAAAGAGAATAAAATACCTAGGAATTCAACTTACAAGGGATGTGAAGGAACTCTTCAAGGAGAACTACAAACCGCTGCTCAAGGAAATAAAAGAGGATATAAACAAATGGAAGAACATTCCATGCTCATGGGTAGGAAGAATCAATATCGTGAAAATGGCCATACTGCCCAAGGTAATTTACAGATTCAATGCCAGCCCCATCAAGCTACCAATGCCTTTCTTCACAGAATTGGAAAAAACTACTTTAAAGTTCATATGGAACCAAAAAAGAGCCCGCATTGCCAAGTCAATCCTAAGCAAAAAGAACAAAGCTGGAGGCATCACACTACCTGACTTCAAACTATACTACAAGGCTACAGTAACCAAAACAGCATGGTACTGGTACCAAAACAGAGATATAGATCAATGGAACAGAACAGAGCCCTCAGAAATAATGCCGCATATGTGCACCTATCTGATCTTTGACAAACCTGAGAAAAACAAGCAATGGGGAAAGGATTCCCTATTTAATAAATGGTGCTGGGAAAACTGGCTAGCCATATGTAGAAAGCTGAAACTGGATCTCTTCCTTACACCTTATACAAAAATCAATTCAAGATGGATTAAAAACTTAAACGTTAGACCTAAAACCATAAAAACCCTAGAAGAAAACCTAGGCATTACCATTCAGGACATAGGCATGGGCAAGGACTTCATGTCTAAAACACCAAAAGCAATGGCAACAAAAGACAAAATTGACAAATGGGATCTAATTAAACTAAAGAGCTTCTGCACAGCAAAAGAAACTACCATCAGAGTGAACAGGCAACCTACAAAATGGGAGAAAATTTTTGCAACCTACTCATCTGACAAAGGGCTAATATCCAGAATCTACAATGAACTCAAACAAATTTACAAGAAAAAAACAAACAACCCCATCAAAAAGTGGGCAAAGGACATGAACAGACACTTCTCAAAAGAAGACATTTATGCAGCCAAAAAACACATGAAAAAATACTCATCATTACTGGCCATCAGAGAAATGCAAATCAAAACCACAATGAGATACCATCTCACACCAGTTAGAATGGCGATCATTAAAAAGTCAGGAAACAACAGGTGCTGGAGAGGATGTGGAGAAATAGGAACACTTTTACACTGTTGGTGGGACTGTAAACTAGTTCAACCATTGTGGAAGTCAGTGTGGCGATTCCTCAGGGATCTAGAACTAGAAATACCATTTGACCCAGTCATCCCATTACTGGGTATATACCCAAATGACTATAAATCATGCTGCTATAAAGACACATGCACACGTATGTTTATTGCGGCATTATTCACAATAGCAAAGACTTGGAACCAACCCAAATGTCCAACAATGATAGACTGGATTAAGAAAATGTGGTACATATACACCATGGAATACTATGCAGCCATAAAAAAGGTTGGGTTCATGTCCTTTGTAGGGACATGGATGAAATTGGAAATCATCATTCTCAGCAAACTATTGCAAGAACAAAAAACCAAACACTGCATATTCTCACTCATAGGTGGGAATTGAACAATGAGATCACATGGACACAGGAAGGGGAACATCACACTCTGGGGACTGTTGTGGGGTGGGGGGAGGGGGGAGGGATAGCATTGAGAGATATACCTAATGCTAGATGACGAGTTAGTGGGTGCAGCACACCAGCATGGCACATGTATATGTATGTAACTAACCTGCGCAATGTGCACATGTACCCTAAAACTTAAAGTATAATAATAAAAAATAAATAAATAAATTAAAAAAAAAACATTACTTACCTCTTCTAATGTTGGTGGTCATGCACTATTTATTTAATTACAAGCTGTTATTTTATATATAATTTTAAATATCTTAGAGTTCCCTGGAGGGACAGAACAAATAGAATATATGTATTTATTTATATATAAATATATTTATATATAAAGGGGAGTTTATTTAGTATTAACTCACACTATCACAATGTCCCACAGTAGGCTGTCTGCAAGATGAGGAGCAAGGAAAGCCAGTTCAAGTTTCAAAGCTGAAGAATGTAGAGTCTGATGTTTGAGGGCAGGAAGCATTTAGCTTGGGAGAAAGATGCAGGCTAGGACAGTCTAGTCTTTTCATGTTTTTCTGCCTGCTTTATATTCTAGCCATGCTGGCATCTGATTAGATGGTGTCCCCCCAGATTAAGGGCGGATCTGCCTTTCCCAGACCACTGACTCGAATGTTAATCTCTTTTAGCAAGACCCTCACAGGCACACCTAGGATCAATACTTTGCATCCTTCAATCAAATCAAGTTGACACTCAGTATTAACCATCACAAGTCCACCCCTTGTGAACTTAAACCCATACACATCTCCTGAGATCATACATAATCTTCAAATAAAGACAACAGTAAGGTCATAATTATGCCTAACGTCATACAACTATCCTTTGTACAACCGGAAATGAACCAATCCCCAACCCAAATATTATTACATAAAGATAACAATACTTAAATGCTGATATGAAGTCAATAAATCTTATGTCACATGATAAAGGAGAAAGGAAATAAAATAAAGATATTTTCTTAGTACAAGTGTATACATGCACAAACATGTATTTAACAAAACAATGAGGAAATACTCATCACATTTACAGTCCTCATTTCTGCAGCTTGTCACGTGGTCATAGCTTGTATTGATGACTACCTTCTACTACCCATTCTGTATTCCCATTGCCTTCAGCAAGCCACTCATCAGATCGTGGTTTTTTTGTTTTGTTTTGTTTTTTTCCTGGTGGAGTGACCCAAGCCTTCATTCCTGAAGGGTCATGACCATTTGTCGTCCTGCCTGGATTGAGCTGTTGTAGTTTCCCATTGACCTTAATCTCAGGGCACGGTAATAATAAGAGACAACCTAATGGATCTCCTATATTCCATGTATACTCTTCCTTACCTCTGTTGTGTACTAGTAGACTGATTTCATCTTAATAGTCAAGGTCAATCACTCCAGCCAACACTGTAACTTCCTCTTAGCCTGTTGACTGAAAGGTAGGAGGAGCCCAAAGTGTCCAGGTGGCAATCTTAACTTCCTGTTTAATGGGATCATTGTTGTGTCTCCTGGTGGCAGCGTTCCTCCCTCTGAAGCTAAGACCTCTAGGCCATCAGCACGTAATGTTATGGGAACATATCTCTTCTAGAAGGTTTGAGGATATATATTCATATGCTTAGGAATGAAATTGCTGGGCCATAAGCTGTGTGCAAATTCAACACTATCAGGTCATACTAAATTATTTTTTGAAGTCATTTTACCAATGTACTCTTTCAACCAGAAATATATTTCAGTAACTCCACACCATTCCTGACATTTGATATTACCTACTTAGGAATTTTTAAAAGACATAGTAAGATTACCTCATTAGTGTCTCAAATAATTATTTAAGTACATAATATTTATAATTTCTGATTTATGATTAAGTACATAATCCTATCTACCATCATTTAGAAAATATTTACATTTGTCCATTTACATTCCTCACAAATGATTCAAACATAAATAGTTGTGAGTGCAAGGGAGCTAGTTTCCTATAATATAGGTATAACCTTTGTTAAATTAATCAATGCATTTATCACATATAATTGATAGCCATTCAGTTATCAATCACTAAATATTACTTGACAATCAAAAGATGCAAAATGATGAATAAAAATGCAAGGTCAACCACTATGTATAGTTCACACAGAAAAATCACAATCCATGAATATTTCTTTCTATTTGCTGTTAAAATCTCTGCATTCAAATATATTGAAAATCATAATTAAAGAGAAAATACTTATCAAGTTTTAACCAAAGATATGTTTTTAAATGAATTCATGATTCAACTGTAGCTTGTATACCTTGTGAATTATTGCATGTTAAGTGTCTCCCTCCCTCCCTCCTTTCTTTCCTTCCTTCCTCCCTTCCTCCCATTTTTCTTTCCTTACTTTGGTTAGGATTGCTTTTGCTTTTTTGGTTCCATAAATATTTTAGGTTTTTTTTTTCTAATTCTGTGAAAATGACATTGGAATTTTGATAGAGATTGCATTGAATCTATAGATTAACTTGGACAGTATGTTCATTTTAACAATATTAATTCTTCCAATTCACGAACATGGAATGTCTTTTCATTTATTTACATCCTCTTCAATTTCTTATAACAGTGTTTTGTAGTTTTCCTTGTAGAGATCTTTTATCTCCTTGGTTAAATTTATTCCTAGGTATTTTTTTATAACTATTGTAAATAGGTTTGTCTTCTTTGTTTCTTTTCAGCTATTTCATTATTGATGTATGAAATGCAGCTGATGTTTGTGTGTTGATTTTATGTTCTGCAACGTTACTGAATTTGTTCATCAGTCCTAAAAGTTTTTTTGTGATGTCATTTGTTTTTTCCTAGACATTAGAATAAAACCGCAGTTACGTTTGCACCAACTTAATATAAAATTATGCCATCTGAGAAGATGAACAATTTGACTTCTGCTTTTCCAATTTGACTGTGTTTTATTTCTTTTTATTGCCTAATTGTTCTTACTAGACTCCCTGTACTTGTTGAATAGGAGTGGTGACAGTGGGCATCCCTTGTTGTTCCAGTTTTTAGATGAAAGGTTTTCAACCTTCCCCTATTCAGTATGGTGTTCGTCATATATGGCCTTTATTATTTTGAGGTGTGATTCTTCTATGCTGAGTTTCTTGAGAGTTTTTGTCATAAAGGGATTTTTATTTTTGTCAAATGCTTTTTTTGCATCTATTGATGGTCATATGTTTTTTCCTTTATTCTGTTAATGTGATGCATCAAGTTTATTGATTTGCAAATATAGAGCCATCCTTGCAACCCTAAGATAAATCTCACTTTATCATGGTGTGTTATTTTTTCTTAACCTGTTGTTGGATTCGGTCTGCTAGTATTTGTTGAGGATTTTCACTTCTGTGTTCATCAGGGATATCAGCCTGTAGTTTTCTTTTTGTTGTGTCCTTCTCTCATCTTGGTATTAGAGTCATGCTAGCCTCAAAGAATGAGTTACAGAGAATTCCCTCCACTTCCGTTTTTTGGAATAGTTTGAGGAAGTTCGATGTTGGTTCTTTTTTACATCTTTAGGAGAATTCAGCAGTGAATTCATCTGGTCCTGAGTTTTTCTTTGTTGGCAGACCTTATTACTGCTTCTTGATACTTGTTATTGGTCTGCTCAGGTTTTCTATTTCTTGCTGATGCAATCTTGATAGGCTGTAGGTTTCCAGGAAAACTTAATTATTAGAACATTCTCAGGAGGAAAAGCATCACTATTCAACAACATTTCAAAGAGACAGCAAGTGAGAAAAACAGGAAACATTTATTATTTAAACAACTTTCCCTAATGGAGCTTACAAAGAAAGTCCTAGAGAAAGAGGACTGAACATCTGTGGAACGAAAATTTAGAAAGACATATTGATTGTTCAGACAAGATAACAATAAAAAGTTAACAAAATAAGAGTTTTGGTAACAAAATCTTGCTTTCAGCAAGAGTCCATCGAGTAGGACATCAGTTGTATCATGCCGCTTTTACAGATTCTGAGCTTTCTTTTGGAAATTAGCCCATTGAAAAACCATGTACACAAGCCACAGGGCACTCAGATTTTGCCATGTTTAAATAACAGGACCTAGGCTCCAGTGCAGTGAAATTGTTTGCAATAAATCTCCAGTAACACCTTGTCAAAGCCAACACAAACTAATTAAAGGAAGAAGAAAGAGCAGATGGCTCTATTCTCGCGTTTAGAGATTATATAGCTTCAATTAATAGGAGGCAAAGTAAAAAAAAAAAAATGTGCTGTACCTTTTTGGTAACAAGAATATAAATATTCTTTTAATCATAGTTTGGCCATAGTGAAACAATATATAATTAAAATTTACAATGCTATTTCAGAGTTTTAATAGTTGTTGGCTATCTTGTCCTCTAAAAGAAGAATATTATTAAAGTCTTTCTCCTCGGTGATACATTTTCCCCAGTGAAAGATAAGTTTCTAATTGCCTCTGTATACAGAGGTTTTATTTTGGACTTTCAGATGCTATCAGGAAATATTACAAACAAAAATTTAATTCAGAGATTGCCTTAGTAAAGTGAACAAGCAATAAATATTGTGGTGTATTATGAAAGTGATAAGAATTTTGTGATTAAAAAAAATTTAGCCTGAATTCTTTTTTGTTATATTTTAAGGTAAACATGAGGGAAGCATTTGGTTCATATGAGTAGTGACAGTTATTCGATTTAGGAAACTAAAAAAAAGATAGTGCCCAAATGACTATTGGATATTATCACTACATTTCCCTCATTCGCCCAGTTGGTTAATACTTTTTCTAACATTAGAAAACAAAGAAACTCACTACCATCTCATGAATTGATATGCCTCGTTTACTAAAGCAGATTGTTCTTTGCTCACTTATTAGAGCCACCTTCAACAAGACTAACAATGGCAAAAGAGGCCCTTTGAATTGTTAAGTGACAAGCAATGGGAAAAATAATCACCTTTTCCTCAAAGTTATACTATTATACAAGCTCATTCTTTTCAAAAAATGTTCTTACTATGAAGCAGTAACTGTGATTAAAAAGAAGAATGTTAGCAACAGAAGGAGACATTTCCATCTAAGGAGCTCTGTGACTTTTCATCTGAAGTAATTTTAAAGAAATGGAGAGAAAAAATTGAATTTGAATTAATCAAAATTAAGACGACAGATGTGAAATCTTGTCTTCAAAATGCTGATGCAGGGTTGTGCATTTATAAACTCCAATGTTTCTTCTGCGAAAATGGTCTCACATTACCACTCTAGCTAAATGTAACCCATTTCTATCACATTTTATAATTTTCATAGAACTTAGCACTAACAGAAATTATCTTATTTATTTTTCTTACTATGCTACTGTCTTCCTTACTAGAATATAATTTTCATGATACAGGGATTATTTTCTGTCTTGTTTTAAATTTCTAATGCCCAGGGGATCTTCATTAAATAAACATTTGTTAAATGAATTAACAAATGAGTGAATAAAATAATCAACAGAAGTGCTCTCAGCCTTTCTGAGCTTATAGTTTAATTGACTAAAACCCAAAAGAACTAATTTTTCATAACTGTCATGTTAGCTCAGAGGCAAAATGTCAAAGGCATTGAGAGTCTCGGCTTTTAACTGAGAGACCCAGGGTGACTCTGCTTTGACACTGACTAGTTTGCGGAATTGTGAGTCACTTGACCATCTTGGGCACCTAGTCATTTGCACATAATGGACATAACAATTTATAATGTATTGGGAAAGCTAAAAATATAACTTATGTGTAGTGTTTGACACTGTTTTAAGGGTTCAGTAAGTGTTAGTTAGTTCTTAGGATTTTTAGAAATAACTCTTGGGGTTCTTGCTGCACAAAGTGAGTCTATCTGTCCATAGGTCATCAGTTGCAATAAATGTCAAATAGAGCTCTCCTCAACGCCCTTTAATTTTTAATTCCACATGTTAAAATTTATATTTAGAAGCTGGGCAAGGCTGCTTGTGCCTGTAGTCTCAGCTACTCAGGAGGCTGAGGCAGGAGGATCATTAGAGGCTTGAGGCCAGGAGTTTGAGACAAGCCTGGGTAACATAGTGAGACCATCTCTCCAAAAAATATATTAAAATATTTTAAAAGTTCATATTTAAAGTGAGAACATTAGCTATATGATAAGTAAGGAGTTAACACCATAATTAGAGAGATTTTAGGTACTTTCTATGGGCAATTTAACCACACTATATTTTGGAATTATTTCAATCTTTCTTCCACATGCATATATACCTTGAGCAGTTACAGCAAAGAATGTGTCTTTGTAACAATTTAGAATTATTTACTTCATGTTGGATTTAGCTAACTTGAGGTAAATATAAATCAAGGACATTTCTATGCAAAGGGTTTTGTGATTTTACAAATGCAGTGCTGGTCAATACAAACGACTTGGTGTTAGTTTTAGTATTTGCAAACATCACTTCAAGTGGAGTGAAGGATTTGAGCTGAATTATGCTCAGAGTTTGAATACCTACATTACTTGAGACATAAGTATTGCCTCTAAATAAGTTTTCTGGAGTTTTTTCCCCAAATTTTCCTAGCTACTTAGGAAAAAGTGTCACTTATTTTCATTTCTTTGGGTTTGAAAAATGTCTTCCTTGAAGAATTTAATTAATATTCAAGAAATTTGAGCCTCAGGTTAAAAACTTTATTAGGTAACGTTTCTTCTTAAGTAACATTATTAAGCTCCAGAACACAACTTTCTCTGAAGGCATTTTGTGATGTATTCCCTTTCACTGTTTTTATTTTTAATTTTTGTGGGTACATGGTAGGTATATATATTTATGGGATACATGAAATGTTTTAATACAGACATGCAAAGTGAAATAAGTACATCATGGAGAATGGGGTATCCATCTTCTCAAGCATTTATCCTTTGAGTTACAAACAATCCAATTACCCTCTTTCAGTTATTTTTAAAAGCACAATTAAATTATTATTAATTACAGTTATCCTGTTGTGTGATCAAATAGTAGGTCTTATTAATTCTTTCTAGTTATTTTTTGTTCCCATTAACTATACCTACTTCCCCGCCACTTTCCACTAACATTCTCAGCCTCTGGTAATTAGCCTTCTATTGTCTTTGTCCATGAGTTCAATTGTTTTGATTTTTAAATTCCACAAATAAGTGAGAACATGCGATGTTTGTCTTTCTGTGCCTGGCTAACTTCACTTAACATAATGGTCTCCAGTTCCATCCACGTTGCTGCAAATTACTAAATCTCAGCCCTTTTTATGGCTGAACTCCATTGTGTACTTCATTGTGTATATGTACCACATTTTCTTTATCAATTCATGTGTTGGTGGACACGTAGCTTGCTTCCAAATCTTAGCTATTGTAAACAGTGCTGCAACAAACACAGGAGTGCAGATATCTCTTCGATATACTGATTTCCTTTATTTTGGGTAGATACCCAGCGATGGGATTGCTGATTCATATGATAGTTCAGATTTTAGTATATTGAGGAACCTCCTGTCTGTTCTTCATAGTGGTTGTACTAATTTACATTTCTACCAAATGCAGAAAAGTGTTCCCTTTTCTCCATATCCTCGCAAATATTTGTTATGGCCTGTCTTTTGTATATAAGTCATTTTACCTGCATGATATGATATATCTCATTGTAGTTTTCGTTTGCATTTCTCTGATGATGTACCTTTTCATATGGCTGTTTGCTATTTGTATGTCTTCCTTCTGAGACGTGTCTACTCAAATCTTTTGCCTCCTTTTTGTTCGGAGTATTAGTTTTTTTTTTTTTTTTTTTTTTTTCCTGTAGGTTTGTTAGAGCTCCTGTTATATTCTTGTTATTAATCCCTTGTCAGATGGGTAGTTTGCAAATATTTTCTCCCATTCTGTGGGCTTTCCCTTCACTTTGTTTATTGTATCCTTTGCTGTGTAGAAGCTTTTTAACTTGATGTGATCTCATTTGTCCCCATTTTTGCTTCTGTTGTCTGTATTTGTGGGGTATTGCCATAGAATTCTTGCCCAGACAAGTGTCCTGTAGATTTTCCTCAATATTTTCTTTTCATAGTTTCATAGTTTAAGGTCTTAGATTTAAGTCTTTAATCCATTTTTATTTGATTTTTGTATATGGTGATACATAAAAGTCTAGTTTAATTCTTCTGCCTATGAATATCAAGTTTTCCCAGCACAATTTATTAAAGAGACTGTCTCTTCCCCAGTGTATTTTTTGGTAGCTTTGTCAAAAATGAGTTCACTGTGGATGTGTGTATTGGTTTCTGAGTTCTCTATTCTGTTCCATTCGTCTATGTGTTTGTTTTTTATGTCAGTACCATGCTGTTTTGATTACTATAGCTCTGTAGCATAACTTGAGGTCAAGTAATGTTATTCTTCCAGTATGTTTTTTCTTTTTGCTTAGAATAACTTTGGCTATTCTGGGTCTTTTGTGATTCCATATAAATTTTAGTATTTGTTTCTTTTTCTCTGAAGAGTATGATAGGTATTTTGATAGGGATTGCATCAAATCTGTAGATTGCTTTGGGTAGTATGAACATGTTAACAATATTGATTCTGAAAATCCATGAACATGAAATATATTTCCGTTTTTTGGTGTTTTCTTCAATTTCTTTCATCAGTGTTTTGTATGGTTAAGTTAACTCCTATGTATTTAATTTTATGTGTGGCTATCATAAATGGGATTACTTTTTAAACTTCTTTTTTCACATTGTTCATTGTTGGAATATAGTGATGCTACTGACTGTTTCATGTTGATTTTCTATCCTGCAACTTTACTAAATGAATCAGTTCTAAGAGTTTCCTCGTGGAGTCTTTAGGTTTTTCCAAATATAAGATAATTTCTTCTGCAAACAAGACAGTTTGACTTCTTCCTTTCCAATTTGGATGCCCTTTATTTATTTCTCTTGTCTGATTGCTCTAGTTAGGGCTTCCAGTAACATGTTGAATAACAATGATGACACTGGGCATCCTTGTCGTGTTCCAGATCTTAAAGGAAAGGCTTTCAGATTTTTCTCATTCAGTATGATACTAGCTGAATGGTCTGTCACATATGGTTTTTATTAAGTTGAGGCATGTTCTTCCATCCCAGTTTTTTGAGGGCTTTTATCATGAAGGGATGTTGAATTCATGAAGGGATGTTGAATATGATGAAGGATATTTATCATGAAGGGATGTTGATGTCCTGGAATCAGGGACACCAAGAGCCTGCTTGGTGCTCTACCCACTGTAGGTCTCCTGATACCTAAGGTGCAAGACAAAGTCCCTTTTACTTTACTCTCTGCTTTTCTTAAGAAGAAGGAGTTTTGCACCATAACCACTACAGCTGAGAATGTGCTGAGTCTCACCTGAAGCCAGCAAATCTCAGAGGCTCTTTCAAGGATCTTGATGTAATACCTAGGTATTGCTGCTGATTATTCAGGGCCCAAGAGCTCTCCAGTTAGCAACTGAAGAATCCTTCCAGGACTGGGTCCTTCCCTTCAAGGCAGAGAGTTCCCTTCTGGCCGAGAGTGTGTCTGAAAATGTCATCTGCTAGCTAGGGTCTGGAATGGGAGCCTCATGTCTCTGATCATTGCCTTATCCTACTATTGCTGAGCTGGTATCCAAGATGCAAGATTAAGTCCTCCCCACATTTCCCTCTCCTCTCCTCTCCTGTCCTCTCTTCTCCTCTTCAAGTAGAAGGAAGGGGTCTGTTTTGGAGCCATGTGAGCTGTGCAGCCTGGGTTTAGGGAGGGGCAATGCCAGCACTTTCTCAGTTGCCCCAACTGGTGTCTCAGTATGTTGCATGTCACCCAGGTCCACTGTCTCTGGGCGTACTTCAGCCTTAGGACTCATCTAGGTTTTGCCATCCTTGTGGTCTAGAATGCCTTTCAAATTTACTTGAAAGCACAGAACACGGCAGCCCTGGGTGGCAAGGTTTGCCGGCACTCAAGTTTGAACCTCTAGAATTGGCGATTCCCCTATGGCTAGGGCTGGTTTAAATGCTCCCTCTGCGGGCAGGCATCACCTCAAGTTGGTCCAGTTTTTCTTTCAGCTCTAACAGGACAGCACTGAGTTCAATCCCTCAAAATTGCTGTATTTTCCACCTCTCAGCATCCAGAGAAGCTCTCTGATCACACAAGTGATACTGGGGGTCGGGGAGGTATGGTGTTGAGACTCAAGACTGTTTTTGCTATCTTCTCAGTGCCTCTTTCAGTGATATGAAGTTAAAACCTAATACTATGAGTACTCACCTGATTTTTGGTTCTTACGAAAGTGTTTTATGTGTGTGTGTGTGTGTAAATACTTGTTAAATTTGTGTTTTTCTGGGGGTGGAGGTAGGTGATCAGTGGAGAGTTCTATTCCTCCATTTTGCTCTGCCTCGCTCTCTAATGTATTCTTAATGCAGACATTCTTTTATAAAAAAAGATGAGGAGATTCTAACAGCCTCTATCAGTTATATATGTTAATGGAAATGGGAAATAGTTAAGAGAATTTCAAACTTCAAGCAAGCTTCCTATTATCTACATATTGCTCTGAGATATTTATGTTTAGCTCTGATCAGAGTATGTGTAAGATTGATGCTAATTAAATGAGAAATGATTCACAACAAATAAAAGAGCTCTAAGAAAAAGGACATGGTACTTGCTTATATCTTCATCTTTTGAGGCAGAGGGACAGAACTGTACAACTTCTCTGGTTGATCAATACAATGTATGAGAAAGAGCTCACCCGCCCTCCCATTGTTTTATTTTGCCTTCATCCTCACCTTCTACCCTCTCTAAACTTTATGCCTTACATCTGTCTTCCTTTGAAGTAATCAGAGAACATGTAGAATTACAGCGAGTCATATTTATCTTTTCTTATAATTTAACTACAAGCTTTATGTGAAAATAATAAGACCACACAACTGGTTCTATAAAAGATGGCATAAAATGACATCAGACCAAATCACTGTAAATCACACACACACACACACATACACACACTTTAAAAAACTATAAAATCCCGGCGGAATATCTCCAAGCAATCAGGTGTCTGTTTTATATTTTCTGGATAACACATAAAATTATTGAAATAAGGGAGGTACAAGAGTTGAACTTCACTTTTACTGTGGCTTTTGTCCTGAGAACCCACGAAAACAGGGATCAGCAAATTACATTCCCCACTAAAATATTTGTCAATCCCTGCTCTAAAATGTGGTGTAGGAAAATAGGTTGTTAAGCAGAGAACAGTGGTCTCTGCAGGCAGGGAACATAGATTTAGTATTGAGAACTGGCCAGACAGTTGGGATTTGGGAAACCTGGTCCTAGAGAGAAGGAAGCAAGAAAGAGTCTCCAAAAATCTTTGTAAACAACCTTGTTAATGTCTTTACCAACTCCTACACATCTACAGGGGAAAACTTCAGGAGGTCTGGAAGGCAGAACCACTGGGAAGCTGGAGATCCAGGCAAACATTTCAGAGCTTATACAGTATTGGGGAGATAGAGCTTAAGTTGTTGTTTTTTCTATTTATATGCCTCCATTTTGGATGAGAGAGCTTAAGTTCTGTGCCCAACTAAAGAGACATTGATAGACACTGTGGGGTTCAGTTGAAACTCCAATGAAGGCATAATCTAGGATTATGATCATGCCATATTTTTAAGAAAAAAAAAATACTCAACAAAGCCTAAAACCAAAGTTTGATACAAAGTGATTCACTTGTATTACCTGACTGATCACTGTCCGACAGATCTCTTTTGGAGCCATGTGAGCTGTGCAGCCTGGGTTTAGGGATGGGTGATGCCACCGCTTCCTTGACTGCCCCAGCTGGTGTCTCAGTATGTCGCATGTCCCCCAGGTCCACTGTCTCTGGGCGTACTTCAGAATGCTCCTTAAATAAAAGTTATATAATATATACCCACCACATATCTTCCATGATATCCAATGCAATAAAAAAACTATGAAAGAAAGAAAAAGCAGCAGCTAATAAAGAGGAAAAAAAGACAGTAAAATTATGACCGAAGATGTTCAAAACACTGGATATTGTAGACAAAGGCATCAGCATAACTATAATCCTATGTTAGAGACAACTGAGAATCCATTTAAAAAGTCATATGGACATTTTTGGGATGGCAAAATACAATATTTGAACTTAAGAACTTGGGTGGTTTTAAGAGGAGAGTGGAGATAGAAGAAAAAATGATTTGAAAAGTAAAAGACAAATTAATGGAAGAGATCCAGAGTAGACAGAAAAGAACAAAAAATAGTTTCTAAGAAATGTGAACTACGGTCATATATATAATATACATTTATTTTTGAGTTCCTAAAAAAAAGAATGTTAACACTGAGCATAAATAACATTTGAAAAAATATTGTTCAGTATTTTTCTTAATATGATCAAAACATCAACCCACAGATTCAAAAAATTTAGCAAGCCCGGTACAGAATAAATAAATACAAACAAACCATACCTAAGCATATGATAGTCAAAAAGCTGACATCTTAAACGTAGCCAGATTAAAAAATTTTAAAAAAATTTAAAAGGAAGGAATAATAGACCAATGATAAACCTTTTAAAAAATCTAAAAAAATTCAGATAATCTTTAAAGAGATAAAAGTGCTGCCAACTCAGAATTATATGCGGATAAACTCTTCTTCAGTAAGTAAAGTTTTTTGAAAGGAATTGTGTTTTTTTATTAAAAAGCTCATATTTTTCAATAGTTTCTTGCCAGCAGGATGAAATTATTTAAATTAAAGAGAAAATTATCACAAATGAAAGCACAAAACTCTAAGAAAAAAAAATACAAAAAGACTAGAAAGTTAAGTACAGTGATAAATATAATTGAATATTAGCTATTTATTAAAAGAAAAATAATAATATCCTATGAAGTTTATAATATATTAAAATTATATTTAGCACAAAAGATTAGGAAGTGGTAAGTGAAGTTATAATGTTGTAAGTTTCTTACATTCTCTGGGAAGCAGCAAATAAATGAATTTAATCAATAGTGTGAATAAACCTAGGACACATAATTTAATCTATAGAGTAACCATTAAAAGAATAAAATGAGTAACAAAATCAAATGTGATTAAAGAGCTAATAAAGAAATAAAATGAAACAATTAAAATACTTAATCTCGAAGAATGTGACAAAAATGAAAGAAATGAAAACATATAAAAAAAGAAAAATAGTAGACTTGATTGCAACTTGAACAGTTGTCATATTATATGTATCTGGCAGAGAATTTCCAATTTCAGTTCCAATATATAGAGTTGAAAGTTGTCACTGCTATCCTGAGAACAAGAAAAATCAAGAGAAACATTTAGCAATAATTTTCCTATGGCCATCACAGAACTAAGTTCACAGAGCAGACTGCCACCTCAAATCAGAGAAGAACAGCTGAGATATATGCTCTCCTGGAGTCATAAATTTGTAATCACCTAAGTAGCAATTTTGATAAATGGCTGAAGGTTGAGTGTGAACAAGCTATACGGTGTGAAACTCCCATTGCAGTCTTAAGGGACGTCCTACATTATGGTGAGTTTTATCATCAGGATTCCCACCAAGTTCTCATAGTGAAAAGCCAGAGATCCCCTCATATCTCTAGCAGGGAAGGTGACAAGTAACCACTGTAAAATATATCTAGGTAGCCTAACTCATTACTCACATTCAACGTTGTACCGGAAGCACTAACTAATGCGAGCTTAAAGAAGAACCAAGTTGGAAAAGTTACAGCACTAGATTTCTGGACTTTACATAACCCTACAGTAATTAAGGCAGTATAAGATTAGGGTAAGGTAGCACAATTAGACCAAAGAAATTAAGTAGAAATCCTGGAAATATACCTACATATATGCATATTTAATATTTCATAAATGAGATATTATTATATGTAAAGGGAAAATAAGTGGATATTCAATAAATGTTGCTGGCGTAAATGAAAAAAATGGGAAAAATTAACTGATGCCTATCTTATACCATATACAAAAATAATCCAATATGAATTGAAAATGTATATGTGAAAGCTAAAATCATAAATCTTCTAGGCGAAAATGTTAGAGAATATCTTCACTACTTTGCAAATACAAATATTTTTATTTCACATAGCATTAAAAAATAATAACTGTACTAAAGAAGAGAGAAAAATGACAAAACACTGTAGCCAAAGAGATAAAAACATAAAAAACCCCCAAAACCCACTACTTAGAAAAAACAAACAACTCATCTTAAAAAAATTGCCAAAGCCACAAATGGGTTATCATATCAAGTTCATCAGCTGAATAACTAATAAAAAATGAGCAGGATTAATCACCAGAGATACAAATCATTAACAGAATGCCATACAACTATGCGTCAACAGAATAACTAATATTAAAAAGATTGACAATACCAAGGGTTACCAATGTGGTGTCAATTACATCACTAGTACATTTGTACCATCACTTCGGAAAACAATTGGAAAATTTCTAAGAAAGCTAAAATAAGTATACTCTATACTATATGATTTCATTAACATGGATTTTATAGAGGGCAAACTAAGCTGTTGTGTTAGTGGCCAGAATAGTGATTACATTTAAAAAGGGGATAATGTTTCGAAGTGGAATAATAGATCCTTTTTGGTCTTGAAAGATGTTCAAAATTTTAATCAAAATAGTAGTTACAGGTACTAATCATATGTAAAAGTTTATAAAGCTATACATCTAAGGTATACACACATTATATGTTATTTCTTAATCTAAAAACAATAAGAAAAACAGATAGTAGCAATTGTAATATAGGTAAGCTGTGTAGGTGATGATAAAAATTGAAATGTGAATTAATGTATGTAAATATCAATGTATATAAGTCAGCTGCTAATGATTCTTTCTATACCTAGGTCTCTGCTTTTATCTCTCATAATTAACTTTTCAGTATTGATACACAGAAGAAAAATAAGGTGAAATGATAAGCATATAGTCACATAAGTAAATTTCTAATTTTGTTCCTTTTATTTTTAGGTGACACATAATAATAGTACATATTTATGGGATACAGTGATATGTTGATAGATGCATACAGGATATAATGATGAAATCAGGGTAAGTAACATATCCATCACCTCAAATATTTATCAATCCTTTGTGTTTTGAACATTCAATATCCTCTCTTTTAGCTTTTGAACATATACATTATTGTTCACTATATTCACCATGCAGTGCTATAGAGCACTAGAAATTATTCCTTCCATCTAGCTACAATTTTGTTCCTATTAACCAACCTCTGTTTCTACTTGTCATTTTTATGCTTCCCAGCCTATAGTAACCATAATTTTAATCTCCCTTCTATAAGCTCAACTTTTTTTTAGTTCTCACATATGAATTAGAATATGCAGTATTTTTCTTTTTGTGCTTGACTTCTTTCACTTAACACAATGTCCTCCAGGGTTATCCATGTTGCCATGAATGACAACATTTTATTTTTATTGTGACTCAATAGTATTCAGTTGTGTATGTACACCACGTTTTTTATCTATTCATCTGTTAATGAACTTTTAGGTTGATTTCATATATTAACTATTGTGAATAATTTTGCAATAAACATGGGGTTGCAGATATTGCATCAATATACTGATTTTCTTTCCTTTGAATAAGTACCCAGCAGTGGGATTGCTGCATCGTTTGGTAGTCTGAGTTTTTCAAGAAATCTCCATACTGTTTTCCATACTGGTTGTACTAATTTACATTCCCACCAGCAGTGTGTAAGAGTTCCCTTTTCTCTACATCCTTGCCAGCATTTGTTATTTTTGTCTTTTTTATAATAGCCATTCTAACTGGAGTGATATAAGATCTCCTGGTTTTGATTTGCATTTACCTGATGATTAATTATGGTGAAGATTATTTCATAAATGTGTCGGCCATTTCCATATCTTTTCTTTGAGAAATTCTATGAAAATTCTTTGCCCACTTTTAAACCAGATTATTCATTTTTTCCTGTTAAGTTGTTGGAATTTCTCACACATTTTGGATATTACTCTCTTGTTGAATGTATAGCCTGCAAACATTTTCTCTTATTCTGTGGGTTGTCTCTTTACTCTGTTGATTGCTTCCTTTGCTATGTAGAAGCTTCTTAGCTTAATATAGTCCCATTTGTTTTTGCTTTTGTTGCCTGTACTTCTGAAATCTTAGCCATAAAATATTTGCCTAGACCTATGTCTTGAAGAGTTTTTTTGTTTCCTTCTTATAGTTTTATAGTTTTAAGTTGGACATTTAAGTCTTTAATTCATGTTGAGTTGACTTTTGTATACGATGAGAGATAGGTTCAGTTTTATTCTTCAGCATATGGTTAGTCAGTTTTCTCAGCACCATTTATTAAAGAAGCTGCTCTTTCCTTAATGTAGGTTCTTGGCAGCTTTGTCAAAAATAATAGGCTGTAAATATGTGGATTTATTTCTGGGCTTTTTATTCTGTTCCACTTGTCTATGTGTCTACTTTTATAGTAATACCACTCTGTTCTGGTTACTATTGCCTTGTAATAAGTTTTGATGTCAGGAGTGTTATGCCTCCAGCTTTGTTCTTTTTGCTCAGTATTGCTTCAACTATTTGGGGTCTTATGTGGTTCCATACAAATTTTAGGGTTATTTTTTCTAATTCTGGGAAGACTGTCATTGATATTTTGATAAGTATTTCAATGAATTGGTAGATTACTTTGGGTAGAATAGTCATTTTCATGATATTAATTCTTCCAATCCATGAACATGAGATGTTTTTTCGTTGTTTTTGTGTGTCTTCTTCAATTTCTTTTATCAGTATTTTATACTTTTCCTTTTAAAGATTTTTCAACTCCTTGTTTGAATATTTTATTCTATTTGTCTGTAACTACTGTAAATGGCATTGCTTTCTTGATATCTTTTTCAGTTGGTTTTTTATCTGCACATTGAAATGCTACTGATTTTGTTAATGTTGATTTAGTATCATGCAAATTTACTGTATTAGTCTATTCTCAAGTTGCTAATAAAGACATACCCAAGACTGGGTAATTTATAAAGGAAAGATGTTTAATTGACTCACTGCTCAGCATGACTGGGGAAGCCTCAGGAGACTTACAATCATGGCAGAAGGGGAAGCAAACACATCTTTCTTCACATGGCAGCAGCAAGGGGAAATGTTGATGAAAAGGGAGAAAGCCTGTTATAAAACCATCAGCCCTTTTGAGAACTCACTCACTATCATGAGAACAGCATGAGGGTAATTGCTCCATAATTACATTACCTTCCACTGGGTCCATCCCACAACACGTGGGGATTATGAGAACTACAATTCAAATGAGATCTGAGTGGGGACACAGCCAAACCATGTCATTTACGAAATGGTTTTATCAGTTCTGAGAGTTTGTTGATGGAGTCTTTAGGTTTCTCTATGTATAAGATCATGTCCCTGTGAATAGAAACAATGTTACTACAGCTTTTCCAATTTGGATGCCCTTTTTTTCTTTATCTTCCCTTATTGCTCTGGATAGAACTTTCAGTACTGTATTGAATAAGAGTGTTGAAAGTGAGCATTCTTGTCTTGTTCCAATTTAGTATGATGTTAGCCATACATTTGTCTTATATGGCCTTTATTATAATGCAGTATGTTCTTTCATTACCTAATTGGCTGAAACTTTTCATCATGAAGGGATGTTGAATAATAATTTCTTTGATTTACTGATATGATCATGTGGGTTTTGTTCTTCATTTTGTTGATGTTATGTATCACATTTATTGATTTGCTTATGTTGAACCATCCTTACATCCCTGTGGTTAATCCCACTTGATCGTGGTGTATTATCTTTTTGACACATTTTTGAATTTGGTAAACTTCTTTTTGGGCTCTAGTATCAGAATGTCAGAATTCAAATAAAAGTTCTGCTTGATTTTGGATGAGTGATTTTCTAAGCTGCAGTTTTTCCTTTATCTGTTAAATAGCAACAACAGAGGATAGCCTTCCTAAAAATTACTGAAACATTTATTTAGCTTAGACCTGTAACATGTTTGACAAATAGAAAAGTTCCATGCAGATTAACTGTAATTATAATTTGCTAAAAAGAGAGCACAATTATCATACTTTTGATTTGGATAGTAATTTGTTAAATGAATCATTGCTTTTATTTTTTTCTCTGAACAAAGCAACAAATTGAGTAGAAAACTCGATGTCTGAAGTAATTTTCCATTTGATTTGGCTTATCACAAATGCAGAAAAGGGACAATTTTTCCTACCCTGACATCCATCTTTATTCAAAGCATTCTTATATTTCTATTTTATGAATGTTGGTGTATTTATTTATTTATTTGAGACGAAGTCTCACTCTTTGTCCCAGTCTAGAGTACAGTGAGTGGTGCAATCTAAGCTCACTACAACCTCTGTCTCCCCGGTTCAAGTAATTATCCTGTCTCAGCTCCCCCAGTAGCTGGGATTGAAGACATGTGCCACACCTGGCTAATTTTTGTATTTGTATTAGACACAGGGTTTCACCGTGTTGGCCAGGCCAGTCTTGAACTCCTGACCTCAGGTGATCTGCCAGCCTTGGCCCCACAAAGTGCTGGGAGTATAGGCATGAGCCACTGTTCCTGGCCAGTGTATTCATTATTAATGTATGTTTTGCTAAGTTATGCTTTGTCTTATTCCCTTATTTTGGTAAAAATAAGTGGCATGCAGATTTGATCACAATATCAATATAACATGTCCTGTTTCATAGCAATTTTACTTTTAGTTAATTATTATGTGGAAATCAATGAACAGAGATGTAAGCTAATATTTATATATGATAATCATTGCAGAAAATTTTATGATAACAAACTGAAAAATTATAAGGTAACTATGTAAAAGTAAGAGATTGTTCAAGTCATTTCCTTGTAACTAAACATTATGCAACTGTTAAAAATCAGAATGTATGAGAATATTTACCACTCAATAAGCTGATTTACCATGTTTAATTAAGAGGGATAAAAAGCAGCCTGGAAAACAGAATTTGCGATATGAGTAGATAGATAGATAGATAGATAACTTGTATATACACACATACCTCTGAAAGTGAAAACATCAAAATGTGAATGGTGGCTTATGAATGATTTCTGAAAATTAAATTTCAGTATTTTTCCCGTGTTTCTTAAGTTTTCTACAATGAGCAAGTATTACTCTTTAAAATTTGAAAGACACATACAATCCAAAAGATGCTGTTAAAAACAAACAAAAACAATGAAGTGATGTTTTCCTTAGCAAACACTTGACTTGATCAGTTTTCAGAAGAAGACTTTAGGAAACAAGAAATGACACCAAAAAAATCACACTTACCCTTACCTGTTAAGACATACAATTGCTGTTTAGCTTTGGACAAAATAAAAGACCTGAAAAAATTTTAATACAGATCCTTTCTTTCCTGAAGATAGAACTCCTCAAACCCATTGAATGCTGAGGTATTGATGTCAAGCTATAGTCGCCCTAAGTTAGTTTAGACCCATTATTAATCGGTAACTACCAAAATTAGAATCTTTCCTTTGAAGATGACACAGTGACAGCCTGACATGGTTTGGCTGTGTTCCCACCCAAATCTTATCTTGAACTGTAGGTCCCATAATTCCCATGTGTCATGAGAGGGACCCAGTGGGAGGTAATTGAATCATGGGGCAGGTCTTTCTGTGTTGTTCTCATGGTAGTGAATAAGTCTCACGAGATCTGGTGGTTTTATAAAGGGGAGTTCCCCTGCACACATTCTCTCTTGCCTTCTGCCGTGTAAGACATGCTTTTGCCTCCCCTTTGCCTTCCACCAAGATTTTGAGGCCTCCCCAGCCACGTGGAACTGTGAGTTCATTATACCTCTTTTAGTTATAAATTACCCATTTTTGGGGTATGTCTTACTAGTAGTGTGAGAACAGACTAATACACAACTTAAGTAAATTTTCCTCCTCCTTGAGAATATTCTGGGCACAAGATGCCGTCTGTTAAGAGTGTATACACATGTCAATGTAGAAGATTTCATCAGGTCCTTTTGAGAACAATTAAGTGGCTGCAAAATCAAAAGTTCAAGTTTTAAACAATGTCTATCACATGTCTATTGACTTTACACCAAATGCTCTTAATGCTTTCTGGAATTAGCATTAGTCCAACAGGAAGATATTAAAATCCTAAATTTCTATGCACCTAACACTGGAGCTCCCAAACTTATAAAACATATACAAATAATTATAAACATATAAAAATTATTATAAAATTACTACTAGACCTAAGTAATGAGATAGACAGCTACACTCTAATAGTCAGAAACTTTAATACCCCACTGACAACACTAGACAGATCATCAAGACAGGAAGTCAACAAAGAAACAATGGACTTAAACTATACCCTAGAACAAATGAATTTAACAGAAGTTTACAGAACATTCTTTCCAACAAGTGCAGAATGTACATTCTTCTCATCAGCACATAGAACATTCTCCAAGGTATACTACATTATAGGCCACAAAACAAGTCTCAATCAATTTAAGAAAACTGAAATCAGATTAAGTATCTTCTCGGATCACAGTGGAATAAAACTGGAAATGAACCCCAGAAGAAACCCTCAAAACTATACAAATACATGAAAATTAAATAATCTGCTCTTGAATGATTTTTGGGTTAACCAGGAAATCAAGATGGGAATTTAAAGTTTTTGAAATGAATGATAATAGTGACACAACCTATTAAAATCTCTGGGATACAGCAAAAGGAGTGCTAAGAGGAAAGTTCATAGCATTAAATGCCTACATCAAGAGTCTGAAAGAGCACAGATAGACACATAAACAGAATTAAAAACAAAAGTCATACGATCATCTCAATAGATGCAGAAAAAGCATTTGATAAAATCCAGCATCCTTTTGTGATAAAAACCCTCAACTAAACAGGCATAGAAAGGACATACTTCAATGTAATAAAAGTCACGGCCAGGTGCGGTGGGGCTCGTGTACTTGTAATCCCAGCATTTTGGTAGGCCAAGGCGGATGGATCACAAGGTCAGGAGTTCAAGACCAGCCTGGCCAAGATGGTGAAACCCCGTCTCTACTAAAAATACAAAAATTAGCCAGGCATGGTAGTGGGTGCCTGTAATCCCAGCTACTCGGGAGGCTGAGGCAGAGAATTGCTTGAACCTGAGAGGCGGAGGTTGCAGTGAGTCGAGATCGCGCACTGTACTCCAGCCTGGGCAACAGAGTGGGAATCCGTCTCAAAATAATAATAATAATAAAATAGAAACTAAAAGTCAAACCCACAGCCAACATCCTACCAAATGGGGAAAAGTTGAAAGCATTCCCCCTGAGAGCTGGTATGAGACAAGAAATGCTCACTTTTACCACTTTGATTCAACATAGTACTGGAAGTTCTGGCCAGAGTAATTAGACAAGATAAAGAAATAAAGTGCATCCAAATTGGAAAAGAGGAAGTCAAACTGTCGCTGTTCACAGATCACATGATCATATAACTAGAAAACCCTAAAGACTCATCCAAAAACCTCCTAGACCTGATAAATGAATTCAGAAAAGTCCCAGAATACAAAATCAATGTACACAAATCAGTAGCAGTGCTATACACCAACAATGACCAAGCTGATAATCAAATCAAGAACTCAATCCCTTTTATAAAAGCTATGAAAAGAAAAAAGTACTTAGAAATATAATTAACCAAGGAGGTAAAAAATCTCTACAAGGAAAATGACAAAACACTACTGTCAGATATTATAGACAACACAGACAAATGGAAACACATCCCATGCTCATGGATGGGTAGAATCAATATTGTGAAAATGACCATACTGCCCAAAGCAATTCTCAGATTCAGTGGAATTCCCATCACAATACCATCGTTATTCTTCACAAAACTATAAGAAACAATCCTAAAATTCATATGGAACCAAAAAAGAACTTGCATAGCCAAAGCAATACTAAGCAAAAAGAACAAATCTGGAGGCATCACATTACTCAACTTCAAATTATGCTACAAGGCTTTAAGTTACCCAAACAGCATAGTACTGGAATAAAAATAGGCATGTAGACCATTGGAGCAGAATAGAGAACCCAGAAATAAAGCCGAGTACTTATAGCCAACTGATCTTTGACAAAGCATACAAAAATATAAAGTGGGGAAAGGATATACTATTCAATAAATGGTGCTGGGATACTTGGGAAGCCCCATGTAGAAAAATGAAACTGGATCCTCATCTCTCACCTTATATAAAAATCAACTCAAGATGGATCAAATACTTAAATCTAAGTCCTGCAATCATAAAAATTCTAGAAGATAACATCGGCAAAACTCTTCTAGATGTTGGCTTAGGGAAATAATTCATGACTAAGACCTCAAAAGCAAATGCAACAAAAACAAAAGTAAATAAATGGGACCAAATTAAACTAAAGAGCTTCTACACAGAGAAATAAATCATCAGAAGAGTAAACAGACAATCAACAAAGTGGGAGAAAATCTTTGTAAACTATGCATCCAGCAGAGGAATAATATCCAGAATCTACAAGGAACTAACTCAAACAGTTCAGCAAGAAAAAAACAAATAATGCCATCAAAACGTGGGCTAAGGACATGAATAAACAATTCTTAAAATAAGATATACAAACAGCCAACAAACATATAAAAAATGCTCAGCATCACTAATTATCAGGGAAATGCAAATTAAAACCCTAGGGAGATACCACCTTACTCCTGCAAGAATGGCCATAATTAGAAAGTAATAATAGATATTGGCACCAATGTGGTGAAAGGCAAACACTTTTGTACTGATGTTGGGAATGTAAACTAGTACAGCCACTATGGAAAACAGTATGTAGATTTGTAGAACTACCATTCGATCTGGCAATCTCACTACTGGGGTATCTACCCAAAGAAAAAGAAATCATTTATGAAAAAGACCCATACACACACATGTTTATAGCAGCACAATGTGCAATTGCAAAATATGGAACTAACCTCAATGCCTTTCAAACAAGTAGATAAACAAAATGTGGTATATATACACCATGGAATACTACTCAGCCATAAAAAGGAACTAAATAGTGTCTTCTGCAGCAACTTGGATGGAGCTGGAGGCCATTATTCTAAGTGAAGTAACTCAGAAATGGAAAATGCAAATATTGTATGTTCTCACTTATAAGTGAGAGCCAAGCCCTGAGGACACAAAGGCATAAGAATGATGTAATGGAGGCCAACGAGGGTGGATCAATTGAGCCCAGGAGTTTGAGACCAGCCTGGCCAAAATAGCAAAACCCTGTCTTTACTAAAAATACAAAATATTAGCAGGGTATGGTGGCTCACACCTGTAATCTCACCTACTCAGGAGACTGAGGCACGAGAATCACTTGAACCTGGGAGGTGGAGGTTGCAGTGGGCCGAGATCATGTCACTGCACCCCAGCCTGAGTGACAGAGCAAGATTCTGTCTCTTAATAATAATAATAATAATAATGAAATTTGTCAACTCAGATGATAAGGGTTGGGAATGAGTGAGGGATGAAAGACTACATATTGGGTACAGTGTACACTGCTTAAGTGACAGATGCTCCAAAATCTCAGAAATCACCCCTAAAGAATTTATCCCTGCAACCAACTTGAAATTAAAATAAAATTTTAAAAAGACAATAGGCTATAGAATATATTTTACAACATTCTGATTAACTATCTTAGTAAATTTGAGTGAAAGTTATCCACATCTTAGTTAAATATTAAATGGAGTTTCTTTATATGGGTAGCTGCACAAGCTTCCCAAAAATGTTTAATTGACACTTTGGATAGCAAGGTGATAAAGAGTGATATATGAGTTTTAAAATTATTTATGTTCCATAGAAAAGTAAGAAAAATATTTACTTTTATATGGAGATAATTTAGATAGTATTTGGCTACATCTATTTTTTCAACTTGGTCTCCAAGGTACTCATAAAAATCACTGGCTGTTATACTTTTGCCTTTTGAAGCAGGACAGCTTGGACTGCTGTTCAGGATGTCCTTATTAAGTATATAGAGGAGAAAAGATAAATGAAGAAATTTACAGCCTGCTTGATACCTGTCTTTCAAATATCTTTAGAGTTATGCCACCTGGAATATCTTGCAAATTTTCATAGAGAACTCTTTAGATAGAGTATGAAATATTGGCCTGAGCTGAAATGAGCTCATTTGTTTTAAGAAAAGATATATAAACTACAAGGAATTTAAAAGAATATTATCTCATGCCAAATCAAATTTTAGTTTTCTTTCTTCTTACTATTATTGTTAATGTTTTATGTAAATATATGTGTTTACCTGGAAAATGTATAGTAGTATTAGAAAAGAAACAAGTAAAACATTGCATAACATGTTTTTTTAAATTTTAAAGTTATGAAAATATAGAAAAGGTTTATAATTCCTGATAGTTTGATGACACTTGCTTATCTTGAGATATGAGATTGTTTTGTTTTTTGTCAATGCAGTTTTGAAAAGAAAAGCAATTGGTAAGAAACCCGTAAGGTGCCCCTCAATGTTTGCTGCCTCTTGTTACATATTCCCCTTTTTCTCAGGATGGGCTGGATTTAGGAATGCTCTTATGCAATAGCATATGATAAAAGTGATGGATTTTTACATCCAAGATTGGGCTACCAAGTACACTACACTTGCAGCTTACACAAGTTTCATATTTGCTGGCTCACCTCCTTGGCATGGGCTACAATCAGCCTGCAGCTGCCTCTTCTGTTCATTCCCCTTTCACCATTTTCCTTCAGCTATTCCAACAACTGGGAAAAATGCATGTTTAACTCCATGATGCAGGGTGTTGCTTTGTCTTGCAGGACATCCATATCGCTGAAGTTAAAGGAGGTGAAAGGCAGAAGGATTGAAACATCTTAGGGCATCCTCATTGGGTCCACCTTCTACTTATGGGTTTCAGCTTATCCTCATTGTTTCTGGTCATACATCAATCTTTCCTTCCTGATTTCCTACTCTGCAATTTAAAGCTCTAGTGCAAGACACAAATACAGCATCCTTACAGAAACTGTTTGTTTAATCAACTCCCATGATTGCATAACATCAAATCCATATAATCACACACACACACATGCACACACACAAAGTCAACAACTTAAAATAATAGATAATAAGCAAGTTACAGAAATCCTGGGAAGGCCAGGGAGGTGGACTAACATTAAACAAACATATATGTTTAATATGTCTAATGTTCATGTTTTATGAGTGGACTCTGGCTAATATAAATGAAAAAATAAATAATAAATAAATGAAAAATAATTAATCAAAAATAAATTTCATAAAGTGCAAAAGAGAAAAATGCTTGAAAAAAATAGAAGCCCAAATAGTTAATGACAAGAATTAAAACAAGACACACTACAGAAATTGCAAGTTTTAAAAATATAAAATAACAGGACATGATTTATGCATGTAAATTTGGAATTTAAGGAATATAGACAAAATATTTTAAAGTATATGTTAGCAAATCTTATTCAGAATAAATATAATAAAAAAAGAATAAGATCTACTATTTGATAGCACAGCAGGGTGACTATGGTCAATAATAACCTAATTGTACATTTTAAAATACTAGAAGAGCATAATTAGATTGCTCTAACACAAAGAATAAATGCTCAATGGGATGGATGCTCCATTTTCCATGATGTCATTATTACACGTTGCATGCCTGTATCAAAACATCTCATGTACCTTATAAACATATGTACCTACAATGTACCCACAAAAATAAAATAAAAAAGTAAAAAAAGAAGAAATAGGCAAACCTAAATTATCACATAACCATTAATAAAATTGAGTAAGTAGTGAAACATCTTCCCACAAAGAAAACTCCTGGCTCAAGTGGCTTTACTCATAGCTTCTACCGAATGTTTAAAAAAAAAAAAATTCAGTTACACAAAAATGCTTCTAGATAATATAAAAAGAAGAAAAAAACCTTAGCTTATTTTATAAAGCTAGCATATTTGTGATTCAAACCTCAAAATTGAACAGCATGAAAAAGAAAAAATATATATACACACACATATATATGTACACATAAGAATAAAGATAACTATATATATATACACTATGTATGTATATATATATGTATATATATTTCTTTCTTTTTCATGCTGCCCTATTTTGAATTTTTGTATCAAGCATATTCTAGCTTCATACATATATTCATTCCAAGTTCCTTTATGAATGTAGCTGTATCCTAACAAAATAGTAGCAAACTAAAACTACTTTAAAATGGATAACAAGGAAGTTACAGGCATCACAGAAGGCAAGGGATGTTGTTTAATACTACAAAAATTAATTCATGTAATCCACCGAATTAAGAGATTAAAATAGAAAAATCCCCTGATGTAACAGATTCAGAACAACAATTTGACAAAATTCAGCATATTTGGTGATTATTTTTTAATAAAGTTGTAAATGAGGAAAGTCCTGATACAATCAATTTACAAAATTTTCATCAAATTGTTGCTTCAAGGGAGAATGTAATTGCTATAGGCCAGAGCTCTTGCTGTATCAGGAAGATATAGCCAAATATTATACAAATACAATGCTTTTAAAGGCACTAGGGGGCAGATGCAATGAACTAAAGATGGGGATGTAATGAGAACAAGTAAAACAGATAAATACTAATTTTTAAAAAGTAAAAATAAAACAAATAATGTAGGTTATAATAAAAATTAGAAATATAATCAATCTTAAGTCACTTACATAACAATTTCAGATAACTTATAGATAACAGGAAATAATGTTAAGATTTATGTGAATTCTTAGAATTTTACAGATAAAAACTCAAATTTGTGGTTTTGCAATACTCTGACTTACATTTTCTCTTCCAAAATTACTTTCAAAGAATAACACAAAGAACCATACTGTAATATCACTTAATTATATACTAGAAAAAATAAATATAAAATTAACATTCAGAAGAGGTAGTTTCTAATTGTCATCAGCCTAATTGTGCCTTTTCTAAGTAGCCTAAGATTACATGGTATTAGCAAGTGTATTAGTCTGATCAGGCTGCAATAACCAAATACCACATGCTGGGTGGCTTAGGCAACAGAATTTTCTTTTCACAGTTATGGAAGCTGGAAGTCCCAGATCAAGATCTGGACACTGATTTTTGTTGAGAGCTCTCTTTCTGGCTTGCAGATGGCCAATCTCTTCTCATATGGTAAGAGAGCTCTTTGGTGTCTCTCTTTTTTTTTTTTTTTTTTTTTAGACAAAGTCTCGCTTTGTCACCCAGGCTGGAGTGCAGTGCAGTGGTGTGATTTCGGCTCACTGCAACACTGCAACCTCCACCTCTCAGGTTCAAGAGATTCTCCTCCCTCAGCCTCCTGAGTAGCTGGGATTACAGGTGCATGCCACCAAGCCTGGCTAATTTTTTTCTGTTTTTAATAGAGAAGGAGTTTCACCGTGTTGGTCAGGCAGGTCTCGAACTCCTGACCTCGTGATCCATCGGCCTCAACCTTCCAAAGTGCTGGGATTACAGGCATGAGCCACCAAGTCCAGCCTGGTGTCTCTTTTTATAGGGACAGTAATTCTATCAGATCAAGGTTCTACCTTTATTACCTTATTTAACCTAAATTAATTCTTAGAGACCCCATCTACAAATACAGCCACACTGGGGGTTAAGTCTTCAACCTATGAATTCTATAAGAGACACAACATTCAGTGTGTAACAGCAAGATATATATTTTTTCTTTGAGAAAATTAGTACACAAATAAAAGATGAAAACAGTCCTTAAACCAAAGTATTGGTCTATACTTTATGAACAACTAGATGCACGTCTGTCTTGAGGAAAGATGAGTGATATTCTTCCTTTGGTTAGAAGTATGCCTGTCTTGTGCTTTTAGTACATATATCTCCATAAATATATTAGGGAGATAGTCCATGGGGATTTAAAATACTATAAAAAAGAAACTGTAATTGGATTTCATTATGGAGTCATAGTTCAAACAACGGGATTGCAGTGCAGTAGAACCTGCCAGTCTCAGATGAGAGGCTTTGGCAATCTGTTCTTCCCATGCACAAATGCAGTGCACCTGTGAGGTTCTTAATCTTCCAGAAAATTGAAGCTGTCCACCTTCAAGTAGAGATTTAAAACCTCTAACAGTAATCAGTGGAAATGAAGTGGGCATTGCAATTGATAAGGTGTAGGAGTCACGTAAACCTTTTGTCCACTCTGTCATATGGAGTCCTAAAATTTCTGTCTCTCTGTGATTAAAATGAATGATCAATGTATGATCTAATTTAGAGCAAGGAGGCCTCCTCATTGTTAAATTATCTCAATAATAAAAGTGAATTCTGAATGTTTTCCTGGGATTTAATGTTAATCTTTTATTTTTTAAATTTCCATGCTTCTTTTTACTGTTCAAGATGAATGAAGAGGAAGATTATAAATTTCGTGTAATACTAAAATGGTTTTATTTCATATCTTGTGTTTTTTTTTTTCCTGTGGGAGAAAGAGGGGGAGTAGATTGTGACTTTATGATGAAACGAACAGTTGGCCTCCTTAAAAAATCATTTTTCCCTCCAAACTTTCAACTACTTTGGAATTTCCAATTCAATTTTTAAAATGTGAAAAATGCTTTAGGTAATTTCGTTTGAGTCAACAAAACTCTGGCATTTTCTTTCTTTCTTTTTTTTTTTTTTTGAGATGGAGTTTCACTCTTGTGGCCCAGGATGGAGTGCAATGGTGTCATCTCGGCTCACTGCAGTCCCCGCCTCCCAGGTTCAAGAGATTCTCTTGCCTCAGCCTCACAAGTAGCTGGGATTACAGGCACCCGCCACCACGCCCAGCTAATTTTTGTATTTTTAGTAGAGACGAGGTTTCACCAAGTTTGCCAGGCTGGTCTCGAACTCCCGGCCTCAAGAGATCCACCCACCTCGGCCTCCCAAAGTGCTGGGATTACAGGCGTGAGCCACTGCGCCAGGCCAACACTGGCATTTTCAAATGATGTTTAGAAGCCTCGATAGCTTGTGACTTTAAAAATGAACCATCAGTTTTAGTCTTGTTTTTTCAGAGCTGCAGTTAAACATGCCATATGTTGACTAATCTGCAAATAATACATCTGTGATCTTTTGTGGAATTTCCCTCCTCCAGACTTCTATTCCAAGCTCCACATGAGTTAAGAAGTGTCTTGTGAGTTATAGTTACTGTGCTTTCCTTCTATGGGCTGAAGATTTTGAAGGCCTCTCTGTAGCCACATGTGATTCACATTTTGCATAAAGGAATTAGGTTCAGCAACAGGCAAAAAAATAGCCTTTGTTAAGTATCTACAATCTATTAAATTGCTTTCTTAGGAATAATAAGTAAATGTGATACATAATTTTACCTTCAAGAAATGTGTAATATAAGGGAAGAGACCGTGTACACTCAGACACCACACACAAACACAAGTTGTAATAAATAATAGTTGCATGGGAGATAAGTCAGGGTTAGAAGAGTGAAGAGAAGCAAAAAGTCAAGAGTGGTGGCTCATACCTATAGTCTGTGCTTTGGGAGGCCAAGGCAGCAGGATCGCTTGAGGCCAAGAGTTAGAGTCCAGCTAGGCTAACATAGTAAGACTCTATCTCTACAGAAATAAATAAATAAATATTACCCAGCTGTAGTAGTGTGGAGCTGTAGTCCCAGCTACTCAGGAGGGAGAGGTAGGAGGATTACTTGAGCCCAGAAGTCCAAGGCTGCAGTGAACTATGATCATGCCACTGCACTCCAGCCTGGGCGACAGAGTAAGATCCTGTCTCAGAGAGAGAGAGAGAGAGATTGAGAAGAGAGAAGTGCAAGATCACACTTCTGCAGCTCTTTTTTTCTCCTTCTGGCACATTTTTCATTTTTAAGACCCCACGTCCTCCATATATGCTTTCCTGGCCCACCCATTTCCCTCCTCCCCTTACACAGATGGAGAACTTCCTTTCTGGTGTTCTCTCAGCACTCAGCACAGATTGCTAGTGCTTTTATGTGCTGAGCCTTTCCCTTCAACCTGGACTGAAAGAGGATGGCAATCTCGCTGAAGCTGTTTCTTTTTCTTCACAACATATAGGAAAGTGTTGCCCCTTTTTGGAGGTAAGCCCTTTTGTTCTTAAAAATTCTATAAGAAAGAATGAGGGGAAAAGGAAAAGAAGTTATTAAACCAAATTGAGGAAGAGATATGTATCTCTCTCCATGCTTGAAAATTAAAAGGAAATATTAGAAAATTTGCTAGACAGTTAATGATTTGGACCATCTGTAGTGGCCTCCGTAACATATAAAAGAATAGAATCTCCTTTTAATTAATTTTCAGTTGTAAATCATGCTGCAAAATAGCAACCATCCTTAGAGACTAAATCTTATGAGTCATGGCTTCATAATAATGTGACCCAGATTTCACAGACATACAACACTGAAATATTATATTTTTTCCAATACTTTGAAATAATCTGTTTAAATTTGTAGTGAGGGAATATTTTGATATACTAACTACTAGGGATTTATTTCCCTGTCAACTACTACCACTTATTTTACATTGCTATTCACATTAAAATAGATCAGAGTGATAAATCATATGCACAGAACAGAAGTAAAAATAAAAACAAACTTCTTTAACTTTTTGGAGAGAATTTAAGCTTGAAAGCATAAGGTTTTGGCTTGTACAAGCTTGTTAACTCAGAATTTAAATGGCTAAGCCCCAAAAGGAGAAGCTTATATTAGAAAGAATACATTTGAAAGAAAATAAAAACAGATAAATCTGACTCCGCTATTATAGACTAGAAACAGGTCCCAAAAGATTAGAAAGTTTTGTGAGACCCTGGGGAAAACAAACAAAGAAACAAACAAAAAATACACACACACACACACACACACTCACACACACACACACACATATAGACTGTCCAGGACCATGATCAGCAATGATTGATTGCCTCAAAGAGTGAGTGGGAGCTATGGCACAATCACAGACATATCACTGAGTGCTACCTTTGTGGAGGTCATAGTCCATCTCAGGCTGACATTAACAGGTTCAGCAGAAAGGATGTGCCATCTGCCAAGAACATCACTCAACCCTGTTCAAATTATTACTTGCAAATAAAATCCCTCTTTTTGCCCATAATACAGGACATTAAAACATTAAACAGGTGCAATTTTGTCTGCTCCTCTTGGAAACATTTGACCACTTCTGGAGACAATTTTGATTGTCAGACCTTGGAGGGAGGGATGGTGTTGATATCTAGTGTGTAAATGCCAGCATTGCAGCTAAATATCCTACAATCCTCCATACAACTCTCCTACAACAAATAATTAGCCAGTTTTCTGGCCTAAAATGTCAGTAGTGCTGAGGTTAAAAACTCTTACCTAAAGCATGGCCCATAGTGAAGCAACTTTTGTTATGCCTACTCTATATTAAGACCATGATACACTAACATAAGACTTATAAAAAAGATAAATAAGACATTTTAGTAGTCTTTATCTAGAAATTAAAGTGGAAAGAGGAGTATGCTCTGCAAATGAGAGATAAAATTCCCAGAAATAATTTTCTGTTAATTATTTTTAATAAAAACATTTTTGCTTCTTTTTCTTTTTATATATGTATTTTTTAAGAGGGAGGATCTCACTCTGTCATCCAGCCTGGAGTGTAGTGGTGCAATCTTGGCTCACTGCAGCCTTGAATACCAGGGTTCAAGCTGTTTTATTAAAATAAATATATATGAGGAGATACTTATACCTCTATGTAATACAATTAAACCATGTTTTGCTGAATAACAAATTACTCCAAAACTTAACGACTGAAAACAACCAAGATTTATATTCTCACACTTTCTGTGGTCAGAAATTTGGAAGTGGTTTGCCTGGATTTCTGTGACTCAAAGTCTCTAATGAGGTTTCACATAAGCTGTTAGCGAGAGCTGCAGACATACCAAGACTTAAGTGAGTCCAAAGGATCCACTAAGGTCACACACATGATTATTAGGCTTCAGGTTTTTTACTGGCTGCTGAACTGACAGCTTCAGATCTCAGCCATGAAGTATGGGCTTCTCTACAGGGCTGCTCAGGATATAGCAGCTGGCTTCTTCTTCATGGCAACGGAGCCAAGGAGAATGAGGGAGGGAGGGAAGGAGAGAAGGAGCGAGAGAGAAAGAGCAAGCAAGTGAAAGATGGAAATGATGGTCTTTTATGAGCTAATTGATCTTATTTAGGTGATTGTTGCTGTAGTTGTTGCTTGTTGTATATTCCTAAACCTAACTAAAGCTCATTTCTTAGATTTTGGCTTCTCTACATATACAAATGTAGATATAAATTAGAACAGAATAGAAACAATAATTGCAGTCTGTACTCAAGGGGAGGAATACACAAGAGAATGAAGGCCAGGAGATAGAGATCAATGTGGGAACTGCACACCCTATTATATTGAATAAGACACTGAGATTCAATAGATGCAGTAAATTCATACTGCTGTGAAAGGTGGATTTGATATTGGAAGCTAGGAGTCCCAGGACTGAATAATTAGCTCTTTCTTCTTACAAATAAATTATGTAAATCGTTTGTGTGTTGATTTATGTGATCATAAATTATATTACTTTAAATTATTAACAACATTATGATGATTTATTTTTTACCTCCTTGCGTTAGTTAGGTTTAGGCTTCTCTGCATATACAACAAGCAATAACTAGAGCAATGATCACCTAAACAAGGTCAACTTTATTTTCCATCTCTGGAAAAAGAGAAGTGAAGTCTGGAGGTAGATAAGCTGAAGCAGATAAGAAGGCTCCACGCTGTGATTCAGGGCCCCAGACTGCTATTGTTCTGCTCCATCACTCTCTTTAGTGCTTCTATTTTCAAGTTCACTTCATGATCCAAGATGGTTGTGGGAATTCTAAAATATCATTACTTGACAAGGAAAGATGGAAGATAGAAGAAAAAGTCCCTTTTTTTTCAGCCAATTTTAGTTCCAAATGATCCAACTTTCTCAAAATTGTATATACTATTTCCCTTTACATCTCATTGGCCATAACTAAGTCACATGGCCATATCTAACTGTAAAGCAAACGGGAAAACATGGTTATTTATTCTGTGCAGCAACATGTTCAAATATTTTTAAAAATTCCAATGCTAAGATGGAAGAGAGTAGATAGCAAAGTAAGAAAATGGCTGTTTTTTTCTTTTCTGTGTTATAAAAGAAATGCTTTCCCACTAAAAACTGTAAACAGTAGAGAAAAGTAGAAAAATGATATAAAATGATACCTACACTCCCATTTTCCCCAAGATAAGCATTTTTTCTTTCTTTTTGTAAAAATTTCTATTTTCAATTTTTGTGGGTTCATAGGAGGTGTATGTATTCATGGAGGTGTATGTATTTATGGAGTAAATGAGATATTTTGATACAGTTATGCAATGTGTAATAATCATATCAGGGTAAATGTGGCATTCATCACCTCAAGCATTTATATTTTGTGTTACAAACCATCCAATTATACTCTTTTAGTTATTTTGAAATTCACAATTAAATTATTATTATTGACTGTTGTGCTTTCAAATACTAGATCGTATTAATTCTATATAACTACTTTTTGTACCCATTAACCATCCCCACTTTCCCTCTAAACCTCCAACTACCTTTCCCAGCCTCTGGTAACCATTGTCCTCTCTCTATCTCCATGAGTTCAATTGTTTTAATTTTTAGTTCCCGCAAATCAGTAAGAACATGTCAAGTTTGTCTTTCTGTGCCTGGCTTATTTAAGTTAACATAATGGCCAGACGGTCCATCCATGTTTTTGTAAATAACAGTATCTCATATATTTTATGGATGAATAGTGCACCATTGTGTATTTGTGCCACATTTTCTTTATCCATTCATTTGTTGATGGACACTTAGGTTGCTTCCACATCCTGGCTATTGTGAATAGAGCTGCAATGAATATGGGAGTGTAGATATCTCTTCAATATACTGATTTCCTTTTTGGGGGGTATATACCCAGCAGTGGGATTGCTGGATCGTATGGTAGCTCTTTTTAGTTTTTCGAGGAACCTCAAAACTGTTCTGCATAGTAGTTTTACTAACTTACATTTTCATCAACAGTGTACAGGGTTCCCTTTTCTCCATATCCTCACCAGCATGTATTATTGCCTGTCTTTTGGATACAAGCCATTTTAACTGTAGTGAGATGATATCACATTGTAATTTTGATTTGCATTTCTCAGATTGTTGTATCAATGATGTTGAGCACGTTCTCTTTTACCTGTTTGCCATTTGTATGTCTTATTTTGAGAAATGTCTATTCAGATATTGGAGAAAGGACAATCTCTTCAATAAATGGTGCTGGGAAAATGATATCCACATGCAGAAGAATGAAACTAGATGCCTATGTCTTGCCATATACAAAATAAACTTGAAATTGATTAAAGACTTAAATCTAAGACCTCAGACTGAAACTACAAAAAGGAAACATTTGGGAAATTCCCCAGGACATTGCTCTGGGAAAAGATTTCTTGAGTAATACCCCACAAGCAAAGGCAACCAAAGCAAAAATGGACAGATAGAATCACATCAAATTAAAAAGCTCTGCTCAGCAAAAGAAACAATCAACAAAGTGAAGAGACAACCCACAGAATGGGAGAAAATATATGCAAACTATTCATCTGACAAGGGATTGATAGCCAGAATATATAAAGAGCTCAAACAACTCTAGAGGAAAAAATTTAACTTATGAGTTAAAGACAGGTAAAATATCTCAATAGACATTTCTCAAAAGAAAACATACAAATGGCAAACAGGTATAGGAAAAGGTGCTCAACATCATTGATCATCAGATAAATGAAAATCAAAACTACAATAAGATATCATCTCACTGCAGTTAAAACAACTTTTATCTGAAACAAGGGCAATAGCAAATGTTGGCAAGGATGTTTAGAAAAGGGAATCCTCATTCACTGTTAGTGGGAATGTAAATTAGTACAACCACTATAGAAAACAGTTTAGAAGCTCCTCAATAAATGATAAATAGAGCTACCATATAAGTCAGCAATCTCACTGCTAGGTGTACACCCAAAAGAAAGGAAATCAGTATATTGAAGAGGTATCTGCACTCCCATGTTTATTGCAGCACTATTCTGAAGTTAAGCACTTTGTAACTTCACTATGTATTTTCTTCCCTCGCTTTCCTCAATACAAAGCTTGAGGGTTATTTCTTTTTATATTTAATATGAGGGGATGTGCTGGATTTACAAAAAAAAAGAATAAAATAAAAAAGTGTGGAGCGAAGACAGGAAAGCTAGACTCATTTTGAGGATTTATATGAGAACAAAGATGGCCAATTATGTCCTAGAATAAAGGAACTTGAAAGTAAATAGGATTGTTTATTGCAGTCAGCCAAGTGTTTTAGGATCTTTGTAACAATATATACATTATGATATATTCCGGGAATTTCATTTGGATGATTAGAATATTCTACAAAAGGAGAAGACTAAAGTAAAGTTTGATGACAGACTAATGTTGTTTATCCATCCAGTCATGAGATAATGACATCCTAGAGAATGGTGGGTAAAGTGAAATGGAAGGAAAGGATGCAACAAGGTAACTTTGCAAAAGTTGGAAATGATGGGATGTGTGTAAGCTGGGATAAATAATTGACTATAAGATTTGTTTTCCTTATTTGAGGGTATGGATAAAATCAAATAAGTAGTAAAGTAGGGATGAGAGAGTAAGCTATAAATAATATTTAAGGAGATTTGAGGTTCATATAGATGAGAGTCAGGATCCCCACTAGAGATGGGTATGCACTGCAGCCATGTTTGTTTGCTTGAGTGGTTTTGTTTAGGTTTTTGCTCTCAGCTTCAACTTTATTGTTGCTTCAGTACTCTTTGTCTATGAAAGGACTAGTTCCATGATGAAGACCACTTGAAAAGTGACTGCAGCAATTTTGGTAGTAAGACAATTGGTGTCAGTTGCTGGTAGGATCCAGGGTGAGAAACTGAGTTAGCAGGGATATTATTTCATCTATGCAGAATACTGGCTTCGTGGTTTGTAATGTTCTTCAGATTCCTAACATTTCCCAAGAGTTGCGTGAATGAATTTTTCTTCTCTTGCCAAATGCCAAATGGTCAGTGTCTCATGTGGAACTAAAAATAATTGAGTAAATTACACTCAGATTGTTTTGCCCATCTCTTAACTCAGAAGTTGTTCTAGGTGTTGTTGTGGTTGTTGTTTTTCCCTCCAACAATGGATAGAAAAACAATTGCTAAAGTTTTGTTTTTGTTTTCTGAAACAGAATCTCAACATGTTGCCCAGGCTGGAGTGCAGTGGCCCAATCTCGGCTCACTTCGACCTGCACTTCTGGGGTTCAAGCCATTCTCGTGCCTCAATCCCACGAGCTGGGATTACAGGCATGCACCACCCCTCCCAGCTGATATTTGTATTTTTAGTAGAGACTGGGTTTCGCCATGTTGCCCATGCTAATCTTGAACTCCTGACCTCAGGTGATCTGCCCACCTCAGTCTCCCAAAATGTTGAGATTACAGGCATGAGCGATCACACCCAACCACAAATGCTGAAGTTTTGCCTGTCCTGGTTAAAACTCCAGAACTCAAATTAATCCTGCAATCAGAATTTGCAAGTTTTCCAAAAAGTCACTAAACGGCTGCCATAGATCTGGTCTTCTCCAATACTACAGGGGGCGAGGGACCACAGTATGATTATCTCACTATTAGAAATGTAACTCTTTTAAAGTTGTATATTCTAGAAGTCTGAAAAAAACTGAGTTTGAGTCCCAATTCTCAAATAGAAAATTATATTCTGTCTAACACATGGAGCTTTGGGAAGAATTAAAGAAAAACGTATAAATAAGCCAGATATCTTTTACATTTGGAAGTAGATAACATACAGATATTCATTGCAAGATTATTTACAATAAAAAAATATGGTAAAATTCTGAAGTTCAATAGAAAGGCAAAGGGTAATTATGTTTGATTAATGCTTTGGAATAGTTTGGAGCAGTTACAAAGATGAGGAAGATTTACACAGAAAAAATGCTAAGATATTGTTGAGATAAGAAAGTCTCAGAAAAAGTATTTTGCCAACATTTGTTTGAAAAACAGAGTAATGTATTTTAACTTCCCCCGTTTGCGAAAGACGAAACAATCTGCATAGAGAGGTTAAATAAATTTCCAAGGGTCACACAGATACTTGAATTCAAACTTAGATCTATCTGATAACTACAGACCATATTTCACTAAAAAGGAATCAGAGTTATTAGAAATGCAAAGAATATCAGACATTGTTTAGTTCAGTGGCTTGTTCCCTGTACATCTAACGGCCTGAGAAGGACTTCCTTTGGTTTTTGCCCTTTCCCCCACAACCTCTTTCTACTTTAACCAGAGAAGTTGCATATTTTTATTGCTTTTTATTTAAGAGTTTGATGAAAAAAATGTTTCAGGTGTTCTATTGCTAACTGAAATCCCGTACTTCAAATTAAAAATAAGGGCCTTGAAGCCCAGAGAGAGTGAAACAAGTTTCCCAGAGTTACAAAACGAAGAACTAGAAATTAGAACTTTGTCCTCCAAAGCCAGGGTGACTTCTAGGGTACACTTCTGACTCTATACATTCTTAGATCTTAGCCTAGGTGCCTCTGTGAACAATAAGAAGAAAATTATTACTAGAAAAACAATGACATGCAGAGAATTATCTTAGGGAGGCATCAGGGACTGAACAAGGGGAAGTTGGGCCTAAAGAGGGAAAACTGAAATGCCAGATGGTTAAGAAAGGGTGAGGAGACTTTCTTCAAAACATTTTTGCTTTCAACATCCATTTTCAGAGGTTCTGCTATTCCCTTGGAACAGGAATACATTTTCAAAGGGGACTAATTGCACTCTCTTAGGGGCAAAAAAATTAAGTGCGTCGTAGTTTAATTGAGTGTAGATAGATTAGTTTCTATCCATGGTTTATTTGTCTTCTTTTAGTAATGGAGACTCACTGAAAATGAGCAGCCAATGAGCAGAGAAAACCGGCTCTTAGATCCCAAACTGATGGGTGCTTGGAATGTAAACACTGGTCTCATGTCCCCTATTACAATTTCAGGACATATCTGTTTTCTTTCATTCATGCCTCATTATTAGTTCCTGTGGCCTTTGCTGGCCACCAGTAAGTTTAAATTCAGAAATACTTTATTACAGTGTTGTATGAAAATACTGGACTAGAAAACAGGACACCTGCTTTAAATCTGGGGGAAAATCTCTTTTAACCCCACAACATCTCCATTTTGTCATCTGTAATGAGTTCACGAAAAAATTATTCAAAGAATATTTATTGATTTCTTATTTAGGAGATATCACTAATTTCTCTCTTGAGACACTTCTTTCCAGGTGAAAGGAGGTCAGTTAATGTACCTATTGGCTTCTCTCCGCCTCTTGACATACTGACCCTCTAGGACAGCAGAGTGATCTCATCTGATACCAGAAGAATAAACTGGTCAGTCTCAGTACAGCTCCTTCTTTTTTCATTGTAAGTCATGAATTCTCATTTGATCCTCCAGCAGTATATTTTTCTGCATCAGGCCTGACCCAGCTGATATTGACTGAAACAGGTAGAGAGAGTCAGCCTAATTCTTGTGTTAATTAGTTGACCTATTTGTTTATCACACTATACTACAGCCAGTGATGTAGATAATACTTTGACCTTCATCTTCCACTCCTTTTTTCTCTTTTTTTCCCCCATCTCTGTTTCTCAAACACTTATGGAGAAGATGTAAAGATGTGGACCTTTGCACCACCAATGTGTCAGTCACTCTTCTAGATTTGGGGTGCCATTGACAGATAAGAACTCTTCAAATACAGCTTTCCATCTTGTGGAAGAGACAAACAACAAAAGCAATAAATCTATAGGATGATTGTTTTAAGATAATATTAGGGACAGAATCATTGACTGGACTTATCATCTGCCACTCCTTTTTTCTCTTTTTTTTTCCACCTCTCTGTTTCTCGAACACTTATGGAGAAGATGTAAAGATGTGGCCCCTCCAAGACCTTTGCACCACCAGTGTGTCAATCGCTCTTCTAGATTTGGGGATGCTATGGTGCCGTTGACAGATAAGAACTTTTCAAATAGAGCTTTCCATCTTGTGGAAGAGAAAAACAACAGAAGCAATAAATCTATAGGATGATTGTTTTAAGATAATATTAGGGACAGAATCTTTGACTGGACTTACTTCAGATTGAATAGTAATGGGCATTTGAGCTGGTGTCTGAATAGGGAGAAATAGTCAGGCCTGTGAAATTTTGAGGAAAGAACATTTCAGGCAGTAAAAAGAGCAAGTGAAAAATAATTTGGCATGTTCCAGGAACAAAAAGAGAAAGGCTAATATGACTGTGACAAAAGTGATGTGTGGGAGAAAATGTAGGGAAATTGAAACCAAGTTGTAGGCAAAACCTTCCTACTCAAATGAAAGAAATGAAAAATAAATTATTTGAGAAAATATTACAGGCATGCTCCTGTTTTAGGTGATCAAATAAAGGGAGGGAGGTAGAGAGATAGAAAGATAGACCGATAGACAGGCATTCAGATCTTTCCTTAAAGTACTTTTGGGGCCAGGCGCGGTGGCTCATGCCTGTAATCCCAGCACTTTGGGAGGCCGAGGCGGGCGGATCACGAGGTCAGGAGGTCGAGACCATCCTGGCTAACACGGTGAAACCCCGTCTCTATTAAAAATACAAAAAAAAATTAGCCGGGTGTGGTGGCAGGCGCCTGTAGTCCCAGCTACTCGGGCGGCTGAGGCAGGAGAATGGCGTGAACCTGGGAGGCGGAGCTTGCAGTGAGCCAAGATAGCGCCACTGCAGTCCAGCCTGGGCGAAAGAGCGAGACTCCGTCTCAAAAAAAAAAAAAAAAAAAAAAAAAGTACTTTTGGAATGTTTAGAAGAACAATGAATTTTATTACTGAAAGAATGATATCTATTCTTTTTGGTTTTGTTTTACTTATGTTTTATGCTCAACATCAATTCTCCTTTCCACATTTTAATATTTTCATATGATCAGGCACAAATATAAGCAGCATGTCTCTATCCATTTGTCACCTCACTGTGTAATACACACACACACATTCACAGAGAGAGAGAAAGAGTGAGAGAGAGAGAGACTAAAAGAGAGAGAGAACCTGAGTATCTCTGGGGATTTGAAAGAGCTGGACAACTGATAGCTGGAAGTCACAACAATGTCTGGGTTGTTCCAGGTACATCTCTGTAATCAATCAGGGATTTGAACAAGCCCTCTTGACCTTAATATTTTTATGAAGTAAAAATCAGGGAAATCCCTGTGATATGGTTTGGCTGTGTCCCTACCCAGATCTCATCTTGAATTCCCATGTGTTGTGACAGGGACCCAGTAAGAGATAATTGAATCATTGGGGCAGATCTTTCCCATGCTGTTCTCATGAGAGTGGGTAAGTCTCACAAATCTGATGGTTATTGTAAGGGGGAGTTTTCCTGCACAAGCTCTCTTTGCCTGCCACCATCCACATAAGCTGTGACTCACTTCTCCTTGCCTTCCACCATGATTGTGAGGCTTCCCCAGCCATGTGGAACTATAAGACCAATTAAATCTCTTTGTTTTGTAAATTGCCCAGTCTTGGGTATATCTTTATCAGCAGCATGAAAATGGACTAATACAGTAAATTGGTACCAGTAGAGTGGGGTGCTGCTGAAAAGATACCCAAAAATGTGGAAGCGACTTTGGAACTAGCTAACAGTTGGAACAGTTTGGAGGATTCAGAAAGACAGGATGATATGGGAAAGTTTGGAACCTCCTAGATACTTATTGAATGGCTTTGCCCAAAATGCTGATAGCGATATGCAAAATAAAGTCTAGGCTGAAGTGGTCTCAGATGGAAATGAGGAAGTTTTGGGGTACTGGAGCAAAGGTGACTCTTGTTATATTTTAGCAAAGAGACTGGCGACATTTTCCCCCTGCCCTAGAGATTTTTGGAACTTTGAACTTGAGTGAGGTGATTTAGGATATCTAGTGGAAGTACTTTCTAAGCAGCAAAGCATTCAAGAGGTGACTTGGGTGCTGTTAAAGGCATTCAGTTTTGTAAGGGAATCAGAACATAAACGTTCAGAAAATTTGCAGCCTGAAAATGTGATAGAAAAGAACATTCCATTTTCTGAGGAGAAAGTCAAGCTGGCTGCAGAAATTTGCATAAGTAATGAGAAGCAGAATGTTAATTTCCAAAACAATGGGGAAAATGTCCCCAGTGCATGTCAAAGGTCTTCACAGCAGGCCTCCCATCACAAGCCTGGAGGCTTAGGAGAAAATGGTTTCTTGGACATGGCCCAGGGTCCCCATGCTGTGTGCAGTCTAGGGACTTGGTGCCCTGCATCCCAGCCACTCCAACCATGACTAAAAGGGGCCAAGGTACAGCTTGGGCTGTTGCTTCAGAGGGTGGAAGCCCCAAACTTTGGCAGCTTCCATGTGGTGTTGAGCCTGCGAGTTCACAGAAGTCAAGAAATGGGATTTGGTAGCCTCCACCTAGATTTCACCTGATAAAAACATAAGGGAGACGGGGCAATATGGAAATGCATGGATGCCCAGTCAGAAGTTTGCTGCCGGGGCAGGGCCCTTGTGGAGAACCTCTGTGAGGACAGTATGGAAGGGAAAGGTCGGGTGGGAGCCCCAACACAGAGTCCCTACTGGGGCACTGCCTAGTACAGCTGTGAGAAGAGGGCCACAGTCCTCCAGACACCAGAATGGTAGATCCACTGACAGCTTGCACTCTGCTCCTGGAAAAGACACAGACCTCAATGCCAGCTATGAAAGCTGCCAGGAGGGGGGCTATACCCTGCAAAGCCACAGGGAGCTGCCCACGACCATGGGCCCACCTGTTGCATCACTGTGATGTGGATATGAGACATGGAGTCAAAGGAGATCATTCTGGATCTTTAAGATTTGACTGTCCCACTGGACTTGCATAGGGCCTGTAGCCCCTTTGTTTTGTCCAATAGCTCCCGTTTGGAATGGCTGTATTTATTCAATGCCTGTACCTCCATTGTATCTAGGAAGTAACTAACTTGCTTTTGATTTTACAGGCTCATAGGCAGAAGGGACTTGCCTTGTCTCAGATGAGACTTTGGACTTGTGGACTTTAGAATTAAGGCTGAAATGAGTTAAGACTTTGGGGGACTTTTGGGAAGGCATGATTGATTTTTCAATGTGAGCACATGAGATTTGAGAGGGCCAGGGCAGAATGATATGGTTTGGCTGTGTCCCCACTTTAATCTCATCTTGAATTCCCACATCTTGTGGCAGAGACCCAGTGGGAGGTAATTGAATCATATGGGCAGGTCTTTCCCATGTTATTCTCATAATGGAGAGTAAGTCTTATGACATCTGATGGTTATTATAAGGGGGAATTTCCTGTACAAGCTCTCTTTTCCTGCTGCTATCCATGTGAGATGTGACTTGCTCCTCCTTGCCTTCCACTATGATTGTGAGGCCTCCTCACCCTTGTGGAACCGTAAGTCCAATTAAACCTCTTTTTTTTTTCTTGTAAATTGCCCAGTCTCAGCTATGTCTTTATCAGCAGTGTGAAAATAGACAAATACACCCTACAATTCCTCTCTCTTAACTATCCAAAGGAGTTAAATACTTTTGATTCTATCTCTGAAACTTTTTTTCAAATTATTGCCCTCTTTTATCTCCATATTAACTAGATGGAATCTTTCTGATCATCTTCCTAATTTTTTCTATACTATCTGCTTCTTCTTCCACTTTACTCCACAATTTTTGGAGATATAATAACAATGCAGCAAAGAAAGAGGAGGACAAAGAAAAATGATCACGAACAAGATTAATGTATGCAGCTCATTTAGCCAACAAACAGCACAATGCTCCTGTGAATTTATTCATTCTCAGAACAGTAGGTTGAGAAAGGTGGAGTAAACATACTTAATTCTGCAGTGTTGACATTGAGTGGGAGCCAGAGTCTTGAGCTATTGGAATTAGCAGGCCATATATGGATGGCATGAGAAATGTTTCTTTGTGGCCCACAGAGTTGCATTTTGTTTTTCAATAAATTAGATTTTGAGTTTTAAATATGAGGAAATTTCATACCACCATCAGACAGTCAGCCACTTTTTTAAAAATGAGAAGATTAGGCATACACGGCCTGAATTTTTGCATGATAACAACTATTTGGCACTGAGTAGAAGCTGTCCCCTTTGGAGAAGATATGCAGACTCATGACTTTGTTCATCACTACCCTGCTCACTCCATCAATTTATATTATCTTTCTTGCTCTTATAGGACATGGGCTTTATGACTTATGACTTAAGAGAATGCTGAATGATTTCATTAAATTGGTAAGGTAATTACATTAGGTAGACATGGCTTTGTATAATTTTTCCTCATTCTATTTGCCCTATAGCCATTCACAAACCCCAGATATGCTCCAGTTTCCTCATCTGCAGTATGAAGATTATAATATTTACCTAAGTAGTTTAAAGTATTGAAAGCTCACTGGAAAGCAATTTAGAGTTTAGTTACTAAGTAGCTGTTGCTGAAGAAGATTTGACTGAAATTATTGGAACAGTGCTAGGGTTTCTACAATAAGCACTGGTAATCTGGAGTCAAACCTGCCTTTATCAGTATAATGGGCATCTGTTTTGGAAGATTCCAGGCATCTATATAATGTTCTTTTGATACAATAGTGATTTTTTCATTGGAGAAGAAACCTTTCCTTCATAAGAATTCACTTGGTTTATTTGTGGTGGTGCTGAATTCACCTCTAGCATTAGGAATATCAGACTTGACCAATTAAGGCATTGTAACCCTCTCTCATTTCCCTCCCTCATACACAAGTGTGCTTACTTCAGGCATGGTCATGTAGGTACACAAACCAGAACTAATGATGCAGATAATGTACTCATGGGATTTTTGTTGAGATGGTTAAAAAATCATTTGTCTCTGATTCCTGTTTGTCCTTGAGGTAGTGAGGATGTAACTTTGGACTGCCAGGGGCCACCTCATAGAGAAAGTCTGCAAGAAAGTGCATCTAACACAAGTCAGGGAAGGCCAGCTGAATGATGGATGGGTATAAAGAAAAGAGGGAGAAACCCACAATATTGTTTGAACATGGATTAAGCTATTTCTGAATTTAGTGCTTACCCTGCAAATTCCAGTATCAATCCTTCTCTCCTACTCCCCACTTTGCTTGATGAATATATTTAAAATTTGTTTCTGCGATTTGTAAAGTATAGATTGCAGATTAATCCTTATCTATGCTGATGTCTATCTATCTATCTATCTATCTATCTATCTATCTATCTATCTATCTATCTATCTATGCATTTATCTATCCATCTATCTGCAGGGTCCAAATTTAGTCATTTCAACATTATTGTCTATTAAACTGGGTCATTTGAAGAACCCACATTTTATCTATTTCTGAATACGTTTTGTTTCCCCAAAATAAGATGTAGGAATTTTCATGTAATTTTAGTATTCATCTGAACCATTGGAGAAAGGAATAATTCATAGGTATTAAATAAGGAATAAGGAATAATTCATAGGTATTAAATAAATAGGTAAGAAGTTGGAGAACTTCTTACCAATACACTACCACATCAACACTTTTGCTATGATATTTAGCCTTTGAGTTTATAGTCCATTATGTTGTGTGTGAATGACCTGTAGGAATTAGTCTTCTTTAATTCAGCCAAAATACAAATTATTTAAGAACATAGACCATCCATGCCTTATACTACTAAAATGTTACCCACTGGCTCTTTATATATTATACAGTAGATACTATATAGATGACAGTTGCTAATAAATATTTGTATATTAACAGGGAATAATTGTGGATGGTTGAACTTTGTTGAATTGTATTTAATGAATGAACTAGTGACACAAGAGGAGAAAGCTGTCCTCCACCCCCAACACACGCAAATACCTGCTATCTGTACCAGTAGTATTCAGAAGTCCAATTTGTTTATCTTTGTGGCAATCACTAACATTCACAACAACTGCCTAAGTGTAATAATAATACCAATAATAGCTAACAAATGTTAATGAACACTTTCTGTACACCAGGTACTGTGCTGGGTACTTTATGTGCCTCATCTCATAACTACCTATGAGATAGTCAAATAACTACCCTTTAATCAAATAACTACCCTATGATGTATATAAGGTATTATTGTCCTCATTTTGCAGATGAGAAAACGTGAGGCTAATTGTAATTAAAGGATTTTCCTGGTAATTTAGAGTGGTGATATTGGGACTCAAACCCAGGTCAAACCCTATATTCCAAAGACTGTATTTTGAAACAAGTCCATGAATAATTGTACAATAAATATAAATCCAACCACCAAAGATTTAATACTTTATCAAATAAGATATGCATTTAAGTCAGACCATTCCAATTGTTCTTCCAACTTGGGCAAAAATATATCTAATATATTATGCCTAACCTAGTAACAGAGAACTACTAAAATTTAATTTTTATTTATGTGGATTTGGTTCTTTGAAAGTCTGAAAACTAAATCTCTCTGGTTTTGGATTCTGTTTTTGTAAGAATTAGAAAGACAGTGTTTTATAAAAGAGTGTCTTGGTTAAATTATCCAGAGTAACTGATCTTAATTTCTTCAGAGGTCCACATTAGCTCTAAGTCTCTTATAGTTTATGAAATTATCTAACATGAGAGTTCTTTATTTTTTAAATAAATTAGAAATATCCCTGAGGGTGATAGAATGCTCATCTAGAAAGGACAAAACAAAACAGCACTGATTTTTTTTATAAAGGAAAAAAAATTATTAACAGTCCCAGAAAAACAGATGTGTTTATTGATCTAAGAGATGACTTATGTTCACCAAATGCATTGAATGCTATTTCTTATGTGATATTTAAATTATGGCTCTATGATTGACTTTTTAAACATAAAACAAATATTTTGTTTCATTTATTAACCACTAAGTATACATTCTTTTTATGGGAATTCTAGTTCGTTTTCAACTATTAGGCAGTGTGTATCAGCTTTTTGACCTTAAGGAATTAATATATATAATGATTACACTGAAATTAAAAATATTTTGAAATACCTAAAAGGAAAAAAAATAAAAGTAAAAATAAATAGAATTTTAAACCCAGGAAAGTTTGCTCTGAAATATTTTAAGAGTTACATCTTATTTTCCATTTTTTAAAGAACAGTGGTTCCTGAAACAGAGAAATAAAAAGATGCCATAAACCCCTATGAATATTAAAAGGTCAAACTTGATTGTATGAAGTTATTTTTAGCCATGGTTTGAAATATCTTTAGCAATCAAGAAGACAGGAGATTTATGCTTCTACTTTTATCTCAGATGATACAAAACCAACAACTGGCATTAAGTTTTTGTTATTAATTACAGTGTAATGTGTATTTATAAAGTTCTTCTCTAAGAATTATCCATAATGAAAATAATTTCCAGATCCCAATAAAAAAGTAGAACATGAAAAATTATAGAAGAAAAGGTTCTATAATCTGTTTAGCTTGTTATTATAAATTGACTTTCCTGTTTTAATACCAAAGCAGAGAATTTCTTTACAAAGTTTAGGCAGATTATGGATTCTTTAACTATGTAATTAAACCAATTTCATAGTCTAAAGTTTGAATGACAAAGCTAGACTCTAGTACAATGTAAAGCAGCCAACATTTTTGTAAGGATAAAGGCCATAGAAAATCTGATTAAAGGAGGCTTTGAAATATTGATTTTAAAACTTTATGGGGCATGAAGTAAATGCCAAAAGAAAATGAGTCCTGTGAGTGTAAGCCTTGGACGAAAGGATTATGACTTACATGTCATCTGTATTTCTGATTTGGGTAGGTGTTTATGAACATGATAGAACAATATTATTTCTTTACAAGAATATGGATTACAAAGAGATCCATGTTTTTTCAAAAGACCTTGTGAATATCTTCACGAGATGACTAGGCCCCAGATTCATTATCTCCATTGTAAATATAAGAAAACCTAATTCAAAGCAGGACCAAAAAAAGAGAAGGAGGCTGTCAGAGATCCATGCTGAGAATATGTATGAGAGCAGGTGTAGAAATTGTCCAGAGGCAGACAAGAAAAATCAGTGATTCCAACCAGTGGATCATATGAATCCTGCAGGATTTAAATTATGAAATTTTTAGGTGCACATTTCTTTTATTTAAGATGGATATTTGAAACCTAATATATTTGAAACAAAGAGAGATAAAGAAATAGATGCAAAGCACTTGCTTTATAGAATTATTTAATAGTTAATTTTCCTAATATCACAACATAGACTGCAATTAACACATAAACACATATACAATTTTCAAAACCAACTCTACTTTGCTAGCTAATCAAGACTGCTAGTACAGAGCAAATCACATGCAAAATGCACTGTTTTAAGCATGCAACATGCATTAAGTAATATAATCATTATCCTCTCAAGTGGTCACTATTATTTCCCCAGTTTATAGGTTTAGACACTGTGAGATTAACTATACCAAACATTCAGTTCATAAGCGGCAGGAATGTGCTTTGAACTCAGGCATGTTCCAGAGCGTGTGTTCTTTTTTTTTTTTGAGACAGAGTCTCACTCTGTCACCCAGGATGGAGTGCAGTGGCGCGATCTTGGCTCACTGCAAGCTCTGCTTCCTGGGTTCACGCCATTCTCCTGCCTCAGCCTCCCGAGTAGCTGGGACTACAGGCGCCTGCCACCACGGCCAGCTAATTTTTGTGTATTTTTTAGTAGAGACGGGGTTTCACTGTGTTAGCCAGGATGATCTCGATCTCCTGACCTCATGATCAGCCTGCCTCGGCCTCCCAAAGTGTTGGAATTACAGGCGTGAGCCACCACGCCCAGCCCAGAGCCTGTGTTCTTAACCAGGATACTGCACTGCTTTGCTCATAAATGGGAAACACTATTTTAAAAATAATATTTACAGGGTTGCTTCTACCTATCTGGTGTTTGCTAGGAACGAAAATGTCATAGTGACACTTGTAGAATTTATATACATTTAGCATCTTTTTAAGATGACTATGAAAAGACCTGCCATTAGAATATTCACTCTAAAACCAAAATTGAGGTGAGGAATTACAGAAAGAATGTAGGCATATACTAAAAATTTTCTGAATATATATATATATATATATATACACACACACACACATATATATTCTATACATATATATGTTTTCAGGTGCACATTTCTTCTATTTAAAATGGATATCTGAAATCCTAATATATTTGAAACAAATATAAAGAAATAGATGAAAAGCACTTGTTTTATAGAATTATTTAATAGTTAAATCCCATATGTATATGGAATATATATAGATGAATTTCAAAAGCATCCTATTAAGTGAAAGAAGCCAGATGCAAATGACTACATACTATATGACTCCATTTATTTGAAGGAATAGAGAAGTCAAGGCTATAGTAACAAATGCAGATCAATGACTGCCAGGAGACTGACATATGGAAGAAGACTGACTGAAAATGAACAGGAGGAAACCTTTGGGGGTGATGGTAGTGCTCTCTGTGTTGAGTGTGATTCTCTCTCCTTCTGCATGTAATATATACATACACACATACATGCACATATACACTCATTGAAATATTTATGGGCCAGGCACAGTGGTTCATGCCTGCAATCCCAGCACTCTGGGAGGCTGAGGTGTGCAGATCCATTGAGCCCAGGAATTCATTTTCTGCCATTTTTATATTCTGGTTCCTTCTGATCCCTCATTATATTTTGTTCCTTTATTTTCTGAAATGTAGAAAATAAAAGGACATTTTGGATGAAAATCACCTTTTATATGATGAAGTAGCTTATCGAATCTTCATAAACTAAGAAATAACAGGGTGTGACTTGTCTTAAAAGAAGACATTTATGCAGCCAACAAACATGAAAAAAAGCTCACCATCACTGATCATTAGAGAAATGCAAATCAAAACCACAATGAGATACCATCTCTTGCCAGTTAGAATGGCAATCATTAAAAAATCAGGAAACAACAGATGCTGGAGGGGATGTGGAGAAAAGGGAATGCTTTTACACTGTTGGTGGGAGTGGAAATTAGTTTAACCATTGTGGAAGACAGTGTGGCGATTCCTCAAGGATCTAGAACTAGAAATACCATTTGACCCAGCCATCCCATTACAGGGTATATACCCAAAGGATAATAAATCATTCTACTATAAAGACACATGCACACGTATGTTTATTGCTGCACTATTCACAATAGCAAAGGCTTGGAACTAACCCAAATGCCCATCAATGATAGACTGGATAAAGAAAATGTGGCACATATATACCATGGAATACTATACAGCCATAAAAAAGAATGAGTTCATGTCCTTTGTAGGGACATGGATGAAGCTGGAAACCATCATTCTCAGCAAACTAACACAAGAATAGATAACCAAACACTGCATGTTCTCACTCAGAAGTGGGAGTTGAACAATGAGAACACATGGGCACAGGGAGGGGAACATCACACACCGAGGCCTGTCAGGGGGTTGGGGGCTGGGGGAGGGATAGCATTAGGAAAAATACCTAACGTAGATGATGGCTTGAAGGGTGCAGCAAACCACCATGGCACATGTACACCTATGTAGCAAACCTGCACGTTCTGCACATGTATCCTAGAAATTAAAGTATAATTTTTTTTAAAAAAAGTAAATTGTAATGCTTTTCCTAGAGCTTCTGGGTACTACATCAAGTTTGGAGCAATTTTGTAACCCTAATCTGACATTACACTTGTCTTGCCTATTCCCTCACTTCGCATCAGTTGACCTTAAGGTCATTGTGGCATAATTAAGGCTTACAAAATCTTTTTCAAAAGAAGGATTCTAAACAGCAAATTTGAGATAACTTTGAGCCACGTTTGAATGTTAGTTAATAGTATTGTGTACTTAGGATACAGATCTCCTCATTCTTAGTCTAGGGAAGCTTTTATTATCTCCTATGTACTTCTAATTTTACTGAAACAAAAGTAAAGAAATATTATTAAAACTTTGTCAAGAAGACAGAAAGACGAATGTCTTCGGTAAAAATTATATATTTAGCTAACCAAAAGCTTATACTCACCATGCTTTGAATCCTTACTCTGATGTATAATTTTATTTCTGCTGTCAATGGCTTTTTGTTAATGCAATGAGCATTTCATTTATCAACACCTAACAATTCATATATTTACAGGGGTTTAGTTCATTTCTATTCTAATATGGAACAGTTGGGTGGCCTGGAAAAATAATGGTGCCCTAAACCTTAAAAGGTCAAACTTGATGATAAGAAGTAATTTTTATCAATGAAAACAAAACAAAACAAAACAAAAAGAGAGAAAAATTATGTATCTTAAAATGAGATAAATTAATATTTAAAATAAAAAAGTAACATATAATGAACCTAATGGAAAAAAAGTATTGTGAGTAGTTTCAACAAGTGAAACCATGATTCCATTGACTATCAAATATTCAAGCAGTTTCATTAAAATGACCTATTAGAGCAGAATTAAAAGACTTAAATTTATAGAGTTATATATTATAGATAGGTATTATATGTATACATAACTTATTATACATATAATAAATGATATTATAAACAATATTTAGGATTTGGGGCCATTCAAATTAGGGGCTTTTCAATATCTACATCAATAAAATTGAATATTTTACTGATATTTTAAAGTTTCTAAAGAGATGCACTCATTCACCATAAAGTGTTAAAATGACACATGGAAGTCACAGAAATAGTTAAGTGTATCTGTCATTTTCATCACCATTGAAATAATATGTTGCTCGTTTATTATTGAAGAAACTTTAAAAGATGTAAATACCATGGATTTTTCCAGTCATTTTCTCAGATTTTCTTCCTCCATGTTAAGCTTATATCAATTTTATTTAAGTTATATAGACATCTTTTCTTTTTTAAGAAATTAATATTTAATATAATTGAATAAAAATAATTTGCCTTAATCATAAAAGGTTAGTAGATTTTTATGAACAAGTACGTCTAGAAAATTCCATCCAGATGAAGACAAAGATTATTTCTAGCACAATGAAAGCCTTCCTTATCCCCTATCAAAATCAATACACCTCATCCACTGCCCCAAAAAGGCAGTACAATTCTGAATTTTTAAATTAAATATTAATATCACTGGATTAAAATTTTACATTAATGATATCATATAAATCTTTTATATCTGGCTATTAATAGTCAATTTTTATCAATTTCCAATAAGAAAATCTATTTGCCTAATGATTATGATTTTATATGAATGTGGTATATCTCTCCACTTATTTTGATTTCTTTAAATTTTAAGAATAAAAATCAATATTTTAGATTAAATTTATTTCTACACATTTACTGTTTTGATATTACACTTATTTTGATTTCTTTAACTATTAAGAATAAAAATCAGTATTTTAGATTAAATTTATTTCTACACATTTACTGTTTTGATATTACTACAACTAAAGCATTTTAATATTTGCTAATACATAGAAATATACATTATTACCCAGGTAACTGTTTGATATTGACTTAGTTCTAAAAGTTTTTCGTTAGATGCCTATAGAACTTTTTCCAGCCCCAATGTGATATGTGAATAAATGAAAATTTTATTTCCACTTTTCAAATCCTCTACATAGGTACTTTTTCTTACCTTATTGCTTTGCCTAGGACTTCATCATGTTGAATTCAGTAGAGACTGAACTCAGTAAAAATGTTCTCAACAATGTGTCAATGTATATGATGTTTACAATAGGCATTTTATAAATATTCTTTATTAGATAATTTTTATTTCCTATGTTTCTAGTTTTCCGAATTGTGAGATATTATTTTTTCTATATGGCTGGATTCAATTAGCAAATATTTAGTTTTGCACTCTTAGGTCTGTATTTATAAGAGAGATTAACATGTAATTATCTTTTCTTACAATGTCCTGGCCTTATAAACTAAGATAACATGTATACTTACTGTTTCCATTGTGTGAAAAAAAATTTTAAAGATGGTTTCATTTTTCTCTAAAACATCTATAACAATTCACCAGTGAAACCATTTGTGCCTGGAGGTCCCTTTCTAAAAATGCTTTTGATTAAAAATTTACTTTTGTTTTTTTTTTTTGACTTATAAACTATCAACGATTATTTCTTTTTTTTCAAAGAAAAATTAGTCATATTTATTTGGCTTAAGATGGTTAAACTTTTTATTTTTTATTTTTATTTTATTATTATTATACTTTAAGTTTTAGGGTATATGTGCACAATGTGCAGGTTTCTTACATATGTATACATGTGCCATGTTGGTGTGCTGCACCCATTAACTCTTCATTTAACATTAGGTATATCTCCCAATGCTATCCCTCCCCCTTCCCCCAACCCCACAACAGTCTCCAGAGTGTGATGTTCCCCTTCCTGTGTCCATGTGTTCTCATTGTTCAATTCCCACCTATGAGTGAGAACATTCGGTGTTTGGTTTTTTGTCCTTGCGATAGTTTGCTGAGAATGATGGTTTCCAGTTTCATCCATGTCCCTACAAAGGACATGAACTCATCATTTTTTATGGCTGCATAGTATTCCATGGTGTATATGTGCCACATTTTCTTAATCCAGTCTATCATTGTTGGGCATTTGGGTTGGTTCCAAGTCTTTGCTATTGTGAATAGTGCCGCAATAAACATACATGTGCATGTGTCTTTATAGCAGCACGATTTATAATCCTTTGGGTGTATACCCAGTAATGGGATGGCTGGGTCAAATGGTATTTCTAGTTCTAGATCCCTGAGGAATTGCCACACTGACTTCCACAATGGTTGAACTAGTTTACAGTCCCACCAACAGTTTAAAAGTGTTCCTATTTCTCCACATCCTCTCCAGCACCTGTTGTTTCCTGACTTTTTAACGATTGCCATTCTAACTGGTGTGAGATGGTATCTCATTGTGGTTTTGATTTGCATTTCTCTGATGGCCAGTAATGATGAGCATTTTTTTTCCTGTGTTTTTTGGCTGCATAAATGTCTTCTTTTGAGAAGTGTCTGTTCATATCCTTTGCCCACTTTTTGATGGGGTTGTTTGTTTTTCTCTTGTAAATTTTTTTGAGTTCATTGTAGATTCTGGATATTAGCTCTTTGTCAGATGAGTAGGTTGTGAAAATGTTCTCCCATTCTGTAGGTTGCCTTTTCACTCTGATGGTAGTTTCTTTTGCTGTGCAGAAGCTCTTTAGTTTAATTAGATCCCATTTGTCAATTTTGGCTTTTGTTGCCATTGCTTTTGTGGAACTGAAGGAATTTTTTTCTTCCAAGTTTGGTAAATTTCCTTTTTCAAGAAAGGTATGCATTTTAGTTATTAATCAAGTTTTGGCGCTTTAAGTTGTTCATCATATGCTTTTATTATTTTTCTATTATGTGTAAGATTTACAGTGATACCACTCTTTTCTTTCCTAATATTGGCATTTGTGTTTTCTTTCGTTTTTCTTGATGAGTGTTTTGAAATATGCAAATGTTTAATATCTTCAAAGTAATTAAGACTGTTTGATTTTCTATAATGTATTTGCTATTTCATTAATATTTTTGCTTTTATTCACATGTACACTGCTTATAAAGTTTCTTGAAATAGATATTTAAATAATTGATCTTCAGACTTTTAAATTTTTTTCTAATTTGACAGATATAAGGCTATACATTTTCATTAAATATTGCTTTGATTCTATTCTGAGCATTTTAATATATAGTATTTACATTATGATTTAGTTTAAAATATTTTCTAATTTCCCATGTGACGTCTTTAATGCTTGGCTTACATAATTTGGTATTGCCTATTTCCCAATCATTTAATGGAATTTTTAAGTTATCTTTCTGTTGCATATTTTTACCTACATTTCTCTACGGATAGAGAATATACTCTGCACAATTACTAATCACAATTATTTTGAGAATTTGAGAATTCTTTATTGTCTAGCATATGGTATATTTTATCAAGTATTTTATAGACACTAAAATTGTATTTATTCTGCATTGGGCAGGTACAGCACTCTATATTTGTCATATAGATCAAGTTTTTAAATCATGTTGTTTAGATAATCTATTCTTGCTGCTTTTTAATGCCTCCTTGATTTTTATTTGCTTGTTTTTTAGTTGCTGAGAGAAATGAATTGACATCTCCAATTGTGACTGTGTATTGATCTATCTTTCATTTTAGTTCTAATGAATTTTACTTCATGTATTTTGAAACTACCTTGTCAGGTGCTTTGAAACTACATTGTCAGGTGCATAAACATTTTGCATTTTTGCATTTCTCTGTTTAATTTAGTCCCATTTTAGTAAGAAAAAAATCCTATGCTTTTAATATTAACTTGTCTTAAATTCTATTTTTAATAATATTATAATAGTTAAGCAACTTTCCAGTTTGCATACATTGAGAATGTTGTCACACCATCCTCTCTCCTCTGCCTTCTGTCCTTTCAGAGTGCCACCATGGTAGTCCCTTTGAAGGTTATATGTCCTTTACTTTCCCTCTATCTACTTAAAATGTATCTTTCCTTTTAAATCTCAAGAATTTTAACATAATATGACCCAGGTGCTTTTTTGTTATTCTTTCTTATATTGTTTTGTTTTTTCATATAGGGTTATTTAGAGATAAATTATGTGGGCTATATCTCACCAGTTTTAGAAAATATTTAGCCAGTAGCTCTTCAAATTGTCTGGACTAATGCTCTCTCTTCTCACTTTATGGGATTCTGACATAAATCATGGAATTTTATGCAGCCATAAAAAAGAACAAGGTCATGTCCCTTACAGGGACATGGATGGAGCTGGAGACCATAATCCTTAACAACTAATGCAATAACAGAAAACCAAATGCCACATATTCTCACTTAGAAGCAGGAGCTAAATGATGAGAACACAAGGATATATAGAGGGGAACAACATACACTGGGAATTTTCTGAGGGTAAAGGGTGGGAGGAGGGAGAGGATCAGGAAAAATAATAATGGATACTAAGCTTAATACCTGGGTGATGAAATAATCTGTACAACAAACCCTGATTCCACAATTTTACCTATGTAACAAATCTGCACTTGTACTCCTAAACTTAAAAAGGTTTAAAGGCATATGGAATCCATAATTATTTCAAAGTTTAAAAAGTACATGATATATTTTCACCACTTTACAAAACACATTTAATTTATTTCTTGTATTTTCCATTTTTATATTTTTCTCTCAGCCTCAATCTGGATACTTTCTACATGCTTAACTTCCAGACAATTTGTTTTTTTTCTGCCATGTCCAAATAACTATTTAATTTCATGATAACTATTCTTTAAGAATTTTCTTCTAACTATTTTATAATAGTGGGTATTTACCTAGATATTTAACAGTTTTGGCTTCCAAAGCTGCTCACTCTTATAAAATGGAAAGTAAAAAATGTTTTATTTTAAGCTATCAGTTCTAAAAGCCTAGTTATTGAGAAAACTGAGTTAATATGAGTAGATTTGTGACCATTTCATTATCAACAGATACATTTGCTTTAAATTCGAGCTGGAATTTTACATAATTCTAGTGTATACATGGATAAAAGGTAAGCTTCTCTTATTGATGAATGTAAGCTCCAGCGGATAGGGATATCTCTTTTGCTTTTTATGGCTGTATTTTCAGCACCAAGAACAGAGGCTGGCACAGACTATGTCTCTGTATTGAATGAATTAAATAAATTAGTGAATCAAGGTGGATGTGAAGAAGCAACTCATTTTTTTGTATCCTCTCACAACATAAAATCTCACAATATATTAATTTCTGGGAGCCACTAATCTTATACAAATATCAACATTTAAAAAATAGTGTAATATATGAGTGGCCTTGATTATAAAGTAATATTAATAACATAATGTTTTCAAGATACATTTTATGATAAAGAACATTACTGAAAATTAAAATGTCATTTCATAATGGTAAAAAGAATCAATTCATCTAAAAGACATAAGGTTGAATATATATACATAGTAGAACAGATGAAAAGTATATGATTTGAAAACTGAAAAAACTAAAGGAGAAAATAGAAAAATAGGGAATCATAGCTAGAAATTTTAATACCATTTCTTAGTATTTGATAAAATAAACATACAAAAATCCAAAAGAATTGAAGATTTGAAAACCACCATCAATGACTTTTTCTAATCCACATTTTAGAACATGACATCCAACAGCTGCTTGATAGGTGTTCTATTCAAAAGCATGGGGTAATATTTATGAATGCAGGCTACATAGTGAGCAATAAAAATGTCTTAATATATTTTAAAGGGTTAAAATAGAGTATATTCTCTTGCCAAAAGAATATTAAATTAGAAATCAATAACAATTAGATATCTTTAAAAGTCTCCATATATTTAAACATCATGTTTCTGAATAATCTATGGTTATGTGAAGAAATCACAAAGACCATTGATAATTGTTATTTATTTACTGTTGCTCCAGATATTACAGAGCCCTAGTATTGAACTGCTATCAGTGTGGAACTATGAGTGTATGTTCCTTTCATGTCTTTTACTATTAAATAAATACAGCCACCTCCTCGGGTACATAATAAAAAAAAATACAGAGAGAAAGATGTGAAAAAAAAGCATTGCACAGTTATTTTTTTTAAAGAACCAGGGTGTAACATGAATAGGATGAAGCCCAAATGAGGGAAGTTGCTATTTGACTATCACACATCCCGGCAGAAAGGGGTCATGACTACTCAGTTTCAACCAAAATATGTTTACCTTTTAGGAAACTTTATTTTGTTATTATTATTATTATTATTATTTTGAGACGGTGTCTTGCTCTGTTGCCCAGGCTGGAGTGCAGTGGGGCAATCTTGGGCTCATTGCAACTCCTCTGCCTCCCAGGTTCAAGAGATTCTCCTGCCTCAGCCTCCCGAGTAGCTGGGACTACAGGCGTCCACTGCCACGCCCAGCTAATTTTTGTACTTTTAGTAGAGACGGGGTTTCATATGCTAGCCAGGCTGGTCTCGAACTCCTGAGCTCAGGCAATCGCCTGCCTCCCAAAGTGCTGGGATTACAGGCATGAGCCACTGCGCACGGCTATTTTAGGAAATTTTGATAGAAACTTTCCAACTGCACTGCTAAGAGTACTGTGGAGAGTAAACCATACACATAGGGTGGCTTTTCAGACTGTGATTTGTAATAAGAGCACTTCATCATCATTCATCTACATAAAAATTTTCACAAAATGCATTGATATTAAATTAATGCATTGATAGTAAACAAATGAATTGATATTAAATACTTTTTTTTTACTTTAATCTGTATTATTGGAAACTTACAAGAGTGCCTTATGGGCTAAAGATATTTTTAACTGAGGTTAATATGTAATTATGTTCAAGATGATTAGTTTTTTTTTCCTTCAATTAAATCAATGGATTTCACTTCTGTCCCACCTGCTTTATTAACCTGCCCATTGTTTTCTGGTAGTCCAGTGTTATTTAAAGTACCATCTTTTTACAAGCTCCTTCCTGATTTCACTGATAGTATTGGTGGTAACTTCTCATATGTTTAATAAATGCTTTTCTCTAATATACTTCATTTCACTAAATACTAAATACAAGCCTCTGTTAAAAACATTAGCTGAATTTTCACTTAATCCTCCCAGTAACCCACATGATAGGTAGTATTATAGTATTAGCACTCTTATCTTCCCAAGAAGAAAAAGTGAATCACATCGAGATTAAATTACCTCTGAAATTCCAATGAACAATAAGTACCACAGGGAGGATTTCAAACCAGACAGACTGAGTTCAGAGCTGATGTTCTTGTTCACCCTACATGTACAATCTACTCATCTACAGTTAGAAAAAATATACAAATAGTTACACTAATTATAAAATACAAAAATAAAAAAGTATATACTTCCTCCTATCACACACATCCATCCAAACTATCTCCAAATTCTCTCTGTGTTTAACATCCAATCCTCTAAACCTCTAATCTTAGTAGTGTAGGTCAAAATACCATCAAGTCTCACCAAGAGAACCTCTGTTAATATTACCCTAAATGATACCCTTGCTTTCAATCTTGCTCACAGATAATCCACACAGCAGCACAAAAGGATCTTCTAAAATGTAAATTGTATCATGTCATCCCAAGTTGAAGAATTTCAATGAGCTTTCCACTGCATGTAGTGTAAGATCTGACCTGGTTTTCCCTTCCAACCACATTCTATGCCACTTTAACCCTCATTGACTATTGTCTTGGAATACCAGCCTCCTTTCTTTTCCTCAGAATTTCCAAGATCCCCCCATCCCTTAACTTACTGCTGTTTTTTCCTCCTGAAACATTCTCACATTCAAACTGATGTACTCCTCTAACTCACAATCATATCCAAACCCACACATGATTTTCTTTCTCAGCTTTCAGATCTCAAATCAAATGTCTCTTCTAAGAAGTCTTTATTGTTTTTCCCTATCACACTACTCTTCTCCTTTCCTCTCTACAATTTTCTTATTTTACAATTATAAATTTACTTGTTTCCGTCTGCCTTCTACATTGATCCACACTTTTATTAAAACAAGTATCCACATAGTAACATATTGGTAAATGTTTGTAAGTACTGGTAAATGTTTTACAATGGGCCTCAACAAATTTTTGATTTGTGGTGTGTGTTAGTCCCATCTTGCATTGCTATAAAAACATGCATGAGACTGGGTAGTTTATAAATAAAAGAGATTAAATTGGTTCAGGGTTCTGTAAGCTGTACAGGAAGCATGAGGCTGACATCTGCGTGGCTTCTGGGGAGGCCTTCAGAAATTTAGAATCATGACGGAAAGCCATGATGGAGAAGCCAGCATGTCTTAACTGGCAGGAGCTGGAGCAAGAGGGAGATGGGGGAGGTGCCACACACTTTTAAACAACCAGATCTCTTGATAACTCACTCACTAGAACAGCACCAAGGAGACCAAGGAGATGGTGTTAAATCATTCATGAAGGCCCACCCCCAAGATCCAATCACCTCTCACCAGGCTCCATATCCAACACTGGGAATTACAACTGGACATGAGATTTGGGCAGGAACACAGATCCAAACCATATCATGGTGCTTGCCAATTTACATGCTATTAATACTGTCATCTTGGCTAAAATGAAGCCACTAACATGATGTCAGCTGCCTCGCAAAATGTTTGAAAGGGTAGTAATCAATTCTCACAAGCATATATTAGCTGGCTTACCACTTGGCCCATGTCTATTCCATTCACCACGGTGGTAGCACTACTTAGCATGATAAAGTATATTACCTTATACTTAATGGTGAAAGACTGAATGCTTCTGCCCTCAGATTGGGAACATTTAGGGATGCCCACTTTCACCACTGCTATTCAACATAGCACTAGAAGTTCTAGTCCATGTATTCAGATCATAAAAACGAAAGAAAACAGCCCCTAATTCCCAATGGTCTGCATACAATAACCCAAAAAATCTAAAAACAGCAACAGAAACCCCTCTTAAAATTAAAAACTGAGTTCAGCAAGTTGGCAGGATATACGATTACTATAGAAAAATCATGTACTAGCAATGAAAATGAGGACATATAGATTATAACTATAATACCATTTAAAATTACTCAAAAATGAAATAATTAGGTGTACATCTAACAAACATGTAGAGGATTACATGTTGAAGACTACAAAATGCTAATCAAAAGAACCACAGAAGATATAAAACCACAGAAGATATAAATAAAAGACAATCCATGCTCATTGTTTCAAAGATTCAACATAGCTACGAAGCAAATGCTCCTTACATTGATGCATAGATTTATCACAGTTCCTTTCAACATCTCAGGGAAATTTGTGTAGATATAGACAAGATTCTTCTAAAATTTATTTGAAATTAAAAATGACATCACTGAAACTTTTCTAAGATAAAAGAAAATCAAATGAATCAGTCTATTCCATTTCCAGACTTATTATATAGCTGGAGTAATCAAGACTATATAATATTGTCAGAGATGAACACATTGAACAAAACAACAAACTAGAGAACCCAGAAGTATTTTCATACACGTACAACCAACTGAATGTTTTACAAATTTGCAAAAGCAATTCAGTGAAACAATATGTTTTCAACAAATTGCGCCTGGCTAATTGTATATCCATAGGCAAGAAAAGGAAAAAAAAATGAGGGCCGGGCGGGGTGGCTCACGCCTGTAATCCCAGCTCTTTGGGAGGCCGAGGTGGGTGGATCACCTGAGGTCAGAAGTTCGAGACCAGCCTGGCCAACATGGTGAAACCCCGTCTCTACTAAAATTACAAAAATTAGCCGGGCCTGATGGTGTGCACCTGTAATCCCAGCTACTCAGGGGCCTGAGGCAGGAGACTTGCTTGAAACCAGGAGGCGGAGGTTGCAGTGAGCCAAGATCACTCCACTGTACTCCAGCCTGGGTAACAAGAGCGAGACTCCATCTCAAATAAATAAATAAATAATAATAAAAATGAAAATCAAAAACTATAAAAGTTTAAAAGATTGTGCTGTAGAAAAACTTTGGGACATAGGTCTTAATTAGGCTTAACTTAGGGACATAGGGTGTAATCATGACACTGAAAACATGATTTCTAAAAGAAGAAATCAATAAGTTGGAATTTATCAAAATTAAAACCTTTTGCTGTGCAAAAAAAATTCTAATCACAGGATAAAAAGACAAATTACAGACTGAGAGAAGATATTTGCAAACCATATGTCTGGCAAAGGACTAGGAACCAAAGTATATAAAATACTCTTAAGACTCAATAATTTAAAAAAAAATCCAATTACAAAATGAGCAAAAGACATGAAAAGGCATTTCACTGAAGAGGATATATAGAGGTCAAAAATGCACATAAGATGTTCAACATCACTGGCCATTAGGATAATGCAAATTAGAAATACAAAGTGGTATTACTGAAAGATACAGAACAGCAAAAATAAAGCATAATGAAAATACCAAATGCTGGATAGGTTACAAAGAAAATAGATATGACATACATTGCTGTGGGAATGTAAAATGGTACAGTCACTCTAGGAAATAATTTGGGAGTTTCTTATAAAAATAAACATACTTACCATAAAACCCAGCAATAGCACTCTTGGGCATTTATCCTAGAAAAATAAAAACTATGATAAATGCCCTAGAGGATACAAAGCAGATTAAAAAAAAATTACATACGCTCAAAATTCTGCAGAAGCCTATCATAGCAGCTTTATATGTAATAGTAAAAACCTGAAAATAACCAAAATGCCTCTCAATGGGCAAATGTTTAAACAAACTTTGATGAATCTATACTTTGAAAACTGTTGAGCAAGAAAAAAGAACAAACTTGATTCAAACAAGTTGATAGATCTCAAGGGCATCATGCTGATGAAAAAAAAGACACTCTCAAAAGGTCAAATACTCTATAATTTCATTACATAACATTCTCAGAATTACAAAATTATATAGAGGGAAGCTGATTAGCAATTGCCATAGTTCAGGGATGGGGTAGGGAGAGGGCTTGAGTGTGTACAAAATGGTAGTACCAGGGACATCTTTGTGGTGATGAAATAGCTTTGTGTCTTGATTGTAGTGATGGCTACACAAATTACAAATGATAAAATAATAAAGAACTGTATATACAAATTATACCAATGTGAACTTCCTCATTTTTATATGATATAAGATGTATCCATTGGGTGAAACTGGGTGAAAGGTACATAAGAATTTTCTGTGCTTTATTTCAATTATTTATGAATCTATAGTTATTTAAATAAAATGTTTAAAAATAATTTGAGTACATATAGTAGACGAAAAATGCTGAGACATTTAAAATGCAAGTTGAAAATATTTGGGGGTACAGGGTCATGGTGTTATGACTAACATGATTTTTGTAACTAAGAAATACTATGGTGTCTTTTAGCAAATATTTTCTACCAAAAGCAACCTAGAGTTGCTTAAGTTTATCATATATTTCAGTCAAACATTCCCTGAGAATTAGAAACATGGGATTCTTTGTACTTGATATTCATTGATCAGTCTTTACACTTTAGTAATTTAAGACATCATTAATTTCTTTTAACAATATTTAGTGTTCCTAAAAAAGAGCAACCTAGAGTTGCTTTTTACAGAATCATGGTGGTTGTGTTATATTTACATGCATGAGTAGAAGTGTTGGAATTTGAATGCTATTTTCTTTGCAAATATACTTCAATTTAATAAATTCAAAACGCCTATATTGTTTCTCCCACGTTTGATTTTTTAATGAAACCTAGAGGTTCATGTCTATTGAACTTTTAAGTCAATGATACAGTAATCCCCTCTTATCCATGGTTTCACCTTCCACACTTTCAGATTCCTACAGTCACCTGTGATCCAAAAAATAAGTGAGTATGGTTAATAAGATCTTTTGAGAGAGAGAGAAAAAGACCACATTCACATAACTTTTATCACATTATGTTGTTATAATTGTTCTAATTTATTGTTATTGTTGTTAGTCTCTTGCTGTGCCTAATATATAAACTAAACTTTATCATAGGTATGTATGTATAAGACAAAAAAAAAAACACATAGTATGACATTACCTGTCCTTTCAGGCACCCACTGGGGGCCTTGGACTGTATCCTCCATAAATAAGAGGACTACTGTACTTAAAGATCTTCAGTAACATAAACTTGTTAAATTTGAAATTAACACCACAAGATGCATTTTAAGTTATTGTGTTGTAGTTAATAGGTCGCATGAAATTTTGGTGAAAAAAGAAAGGTGAGAGAAGAAGACAAATTAGGTTATTATCAGACGAGGAAAACAAAACCTAATTAAAGTTAAACTCTATTGTACCAGAAAGTAGTTTAATTAATACTAACTTATCTACTGTGTTGTTTTTAGCTCCAAGCAAATTTCCAATGATATGGAACAAATTTTTAAATGCACTGTTTTTCTAGCTCAGTACCTCTTCCATGTGTGCTTATATTTATCATATACTTTGATCAAACCTTCTCTGGGAATTTGAAACATGAGATTCTTTGCACTTGATATTCATTGATGAATCTTTACACTTTACTAACTTAGGACATCATTAGTTTTTTCAAACAATATTTAGTGTGCCTACCAGGCACTGGGGCCAAAATCAGTAAATAAAAAAGGTGTGGCTTCTGCACTCAAGGGTCTTACAGCCTAATGGGGAAAGAGAGAGGGGTAAGAAGACAGCTGCAATGCAGTGTGGCAAGAACGAGGATGGGAAAATATATACTACCACAGGATCACATAGAAAGTCACATAAAATTTGGCAGCAGAGGAAGAAAGGAAATGATACTCGGGCTAATATAAAAAGATAAGTAAGGTTTTCCATCTGGAAGCAATTGCAGAAAGTGTTTCAGGCTGATAAAACACGTGTGATAGTCCAGAGTAAAAACACTATCAATGGCAATTTGTTGTAGTGTTCTAATGAAAGTAAAGGGTAATTCACTAAGTTCCCAATTTCAGAACCGCCTTAATCAGCTATACAGTGAAGTGTAGTATCTTTAATAGGCAGTGTTTATTTTAGTAGAGGATATTAGGTATGTTGTTGATTTTTTTTATTTTTTTTCTTTTGTTTTGTGGCAACTTTAATTTCTTTTTTTCTTTTTAATAGAGATGGGGTTGTGCCATGTTGCCCATGCTGGTCTGGAACTCCTGGACTCAAGCAATCCACCCACCTCAGCCTTCCAAACCCTGTGATTACAGGTGGTAGCCACTGTGCCCAGCCCTAGGGAACTTTAATTTCTACTATCTGTTTTATTCATTCCCTTTGCCTCCTAGTTTCCAAGGTATGCCTGGTCCTCCTTCAGAAGCAGTCCTCTCTCAAGACTGTCACTTCTTGTTCTGAACAATTTCAAATCTCTTTCTGTCAATTTCCCTGCAGCCAGTGTTCTGATCTCCCAGGTTTTGGACCAATTATTATGTCTTCACTCATGTGAGACTTTTTTTACTTAACTTTCTGAATTTTAGATACATCATAAATTACTTAGAAATAAGTAAGTTATGGCAAATTCTTAGAACAGTTTCAGTACCTGATGAGTTCAAAATATTGTATTAATTATTGCATTATATGAAAATCAGAACTAAATTTGAAAATGTATTTGCATACAATTATTGTAAGTTGTCCCCTGCTTAGCTTGCTTCTTAGATTTCTCGTCTTCTTTTTAAGCTGTAATTTTCCAACACCATCTCTAAGTGCTTTTGAAAAGTAGACTTAGTACTTTGTTGAGCTGAATGTGCTTGAAGAAGCCCTCTTAGCATGTTTCAACGGAACCAAAGAAGTGTGTAGACTCTGAGATAAACACTTTGCAGTTACATGGAGAAAGAAATGACAGAAAATGTGTGTGTTCTGGGTTTTAAAATTCAGTATGTTTTGCAGCACTGTGAAAATGAGTAGCTTCTAACGCTTGCCAAGTTAAACCCAGCTAGGCCAAATATTGTTAGAGCTCCTCCTAATGGAGGTAACTGATGAAGGAGGGACACGTTTGCCAGCATATTCTCCTTCTCTGAGTAATAAATAGTAGAAACTTACTCTACCTATTTGCAGTTAGTGCAGTGGTTCAGAGCAAGATAAACATTTCTTTTGTAACATTAGAGAAAACAGTTCCAGTTCTCATGATGAGAAAAATTGCCCTGTTATTTCTCTGGATGTAGAAACACAAATGCTTTTTGTTGAAAGAGAGCTGACACAATTGAATGCCATGTTAAGATAATCGTGAACATTTTTCTCAACTGTCTAAATCATCCCATAGCAATTGATGCATAAACTATTCGTTTGCAATGTCATAAAAGAAAAAAAAGTGCCTGTATTCAAAAAGCATTCAAATCTCATTTATGCCATGCACGACTGTCCTATTAAATTCAATATGGGGCTTATAATAAAATTTTTGGGTTTCCTGTCCTACTTCATCTCTAATGTAGCATATGTGTCTCTACTTGTCTCTATAAGAGGGGCAAACATAATCTTAAATTGATGAGCAATTTCCTTTCCAGACAAATCACAGAGACATAATTTACAGTGAATGAAATGGCATATCTAAATCTCCATTTTTGTAGATAATGATTATGTAGCCCTCTAATTCATTCAGATGCTTTTGAGTTTCTCCTTTTGAAAAGAAAAGCCATCTTGAAATACTTTCTAAAATAAATTTCTTTAAGGAAATGAAAAGAAGGGTTAATTACAATTCTCTAAAATATTCTTAAATGGCTACTCCTGTCAGATGAGTGCAAAAGGACATTTTAAAAAGGTGACACTTATAGATGATGACAACAGGAGTATTTTACCCAGCATATCATATTAACTGCTGTTTTCTTTTATATGCATAAGGAGAAAATGTTGGCTTCAGTGCAGAAGCCGAAAGAACATTGTAATTTAGGAGCAAGGACTTTATCTAGAAAATTCTATTGAGCAGTTTGTAATGCTAATGCATGCATTTAGCCATACTTCACCTTGGAAATGACTTATCTGATAGCTTCTAATTGAGAATAAGATTTTCTTCTAAAGGGAAAAACAACTGCCCATACAAAAGAGGAGACACTCAATTCATTTCCCCATTAGCCAAGAATTATATAATTAACTGGTAATAACTCCTGATCCTGGACATACGGAAGGTCAAACTACTGATACCAAGTTTTTAAGCGTGTATTTGTTAACCTGAAAGAGGCATAATTTTATTAAAAAGTCAATGGATTTAACTTTATATAATCTTTTTAAAAGAAGAATAAATATTATTTAAAGATTAACTGATATCAACCAATAAATACTTTGACTATTGCTAGTTGAATTAAGTATAATTGGATATTAGGTAAAGTGATCATTTGAATTTCAGATTTATAAAATAGTGGAAATATAATTGTTACTTCAGGGCAGGTGCTTTTTTTTATTATTCTGTGTATTGCTAGTGTCCAACATACACCTGACACATAATCAATGTTACATAAAGATTTTTTTGTTTGAGTGGGTGGATATATAGATGAGCAGATTCAAGTTAGATGTGCTCTATTTCTTTTTTTTTTCTTTTCTTTTTTTTTTTTTTTTTTTTTTTTTGAGTGGGAGTCTCAATCTCTCGCCCCAGCTGGAGTGCAGTGGCACAATCTCGGCTCACTGCAACCTCTGCCTCCTGGGTTCCAGCGATTCTCCTGCCTCAACCTCCCGAGTAGCTGGATCTATAGGCACGTGCCACCACGCCTGGCTAATTTTTGTATTTTTCAGTAGAGATGGGGTTTCACCATACTGGACAGGCTGGTCTCGAACTCCTGATCTGTAAGAAAGGCTATCATTATATTCTTTCCTTGTTATTAAAAATATGTTAACTGTTAGTGTACTTCTTGAATTATTTTTATTTCTTCCCAGCTAACTGGGAATACATCTTTTGCCCATTGTGTGTGGCATTCACATCCATTGTCAGGCACTTGGTAAGCCAACATTGACAATATTTCATAAAATTTAGTTACATTTGAAATGTACTAGGCTTGATAGTTCTTAAAGTTTTAAGCAATTCATAACATAATTTATCTAGCTTCTGTGATACTTAATAAACCCCAGGATTTGCCTGACTTCTAAATTAAACTGTAGGAAAAAAATAGAGAGGCAATCAATCCATAAATCTGTGGATATTGATATAATGTGTGAAAGACAGGTTTATGAGGTTATAGGGTGGCTTAGAAAATAAATTATACCTGATAATGTTGATATAAAATTTAGTGAAGTTTAAGATTTTATTTGCGTGGGAAGTAACTTACTTTATTTTTTCTCATCAAATTTCAGCTGACTTTTTTTGTTGCATTGAATTCGTTAAGGAGTCTTAAAATAAGGGAGAAAAGAAAAAGTGACAACAAAATCAGTTGAGAACATCTTATTGCTGAAATCAGCAAATGGTTCATTTGTCTGACAGGTCATATTGCTCTAATTGGAGACTCCGGTTTCTTCTTGAAAAGTAAGCCACATATCTGAGAGCTATAAGCAGCAGAGACAGGGCATCACTTAAAATTCCCCTTTAGCTAAAACTAATACCTGAATATCTTAAATCTAAACAATGAAACACAGAAAGAAAAAATAACAAAACACATAAATTAATAATTTAATTTTAAAACTTAATATTTGAATTGATCTATAGCCAGTCAAATGATCAACTTGCTCTTTTAATGTATTCAGGAGTGGTTTTATATTAAAAAATGGTTTCTTTGATCATACATCTGTAAAAGTGTACATAATCACAATGAATGATTGCAGAGCCTGCCGTTCTTCAGGAAGCAGTGTAAAACAATATTGTAATAGATACTCTTACTGGGCGTTATCAATCATTCTAGGCATTCTTCTAAATTATCTTTAAAAGTAACTTATTTATGCATAAAACAACCCTACACAGCAAGTGTTTTACTATTGATTTTTTTGTAGATGAAGAAATTGACTCATAGGAGGGCTGAGAAATTTTACAGGCTGGCACAGTTAATAAGCAGTTGAGTTGAGACGTGAACACTGTCAGTCTGGCTTCAGAATGTTCAGAGCTACTTTCTCATAGTTGTAGAACACAGAAGTTGAGGTCCATTAAAATCATGGGCTTTTAACTGGACCTATTAATCTTGGGCTTTTAACTGAGTTCCTAAATTTTAGAACTTTCTGTACTTAGTAATGTTGGGCTTTTAAATGAGTTCTTAAATCTTAGAATGGAGATACTATGTATTTCTTATGGCCTAATGTGATGTTTGAAAGCTGAGATTCTAGAACATGACTGGGTTTCAACCCAGGTTCTACCATTTACCAGCTGTATCATTTGAACGAGTTAGTAGCATCTTTCTATCTTTGGGCCTTGGTTTTGCCATAATAACACACCTACTTTATAGATATTCTGAAGATTAAATGAGTTTCTGTCTCTCTCTCACAAGATAGACTGCTGTTTTACAAGTTCTTAACTATAATAAAAGTGTAAGAATGAAATTAATTTAAATGAAGAATGGCTGTAGTGCCATGTAGAAACTAAATAGAAAGTACGCATTGTTATCTTCAGCAAATTCAGTCATGTTTCTATTCTCACATCTCATCAATCCTATTCCGGGATTCTGTGCTTTATAATAAACTAGGTTACTGCAAAATTCCAATGTATTTCTCAGTGCTTGGTCTCACTACTTGTTACCAATATCTGAACAATCTTTTCTTCTCTGCATCTTTTCCCTCCTTCCTGATTGCTACTGTCATCATAATCATAGTCATTATTGTCATCATAACTTAGATTTTAGCTTGGCCCTCACTTTATCTTGGAACACTTCACTCGATCCTTTAATCAAAATGGTAGTCCTTACTCTCTGCTTATAGCACCCTATGTTGACACTGACATAGACTTAACATTATTCTATATTGCAATTGATTTTCAGTTTGCCCGTCTGTTACTTCTCCCCAGCTAAGCATATCTTATCAAAATCTCCATCCCTCTAGCACCTATCACAATTCCTGACATAGCAGTTTTTCAGGATGTGTTTTGAGCAAATGGAATGTTTCTTTTTCTGTTGACTGACAACAAAGTCTAGATCAGTAATTGCCAAAAAATGGTTTATGGAAATATTTTCTTGAGTCAATGAAAAATAAATAAACAAATGTGATTAGTTTTCATAAAGGTAAATTTGTGTATGTTTTCATGTTCTGAGATTGTTTTTCTAGTTTTTAATAAAAAATATTTATTTCATTAAATGAAAGCAATCATAATTGAGTTGATTTATTTTTATTCTCTTTACTTGAAAAATACAAAGCTGGCAACTTATTGTTACTGGAATCTCTATTATTTTTAAATTTAATTAGTTTATGAGATTCAAAATTCTGGCATAAAGTAAACAAGGCATAGAAATTTGAACATAAGTAGATGATGCAAAAAAGTAAGATGGTAAAGAGGCCTGGAACAGGATATGTGGTATTATTATTTTCTCATAATTTTGCTTAGAATTAGTGAAAATGTTATTATGACAAAATAATGGATGTTAAGCTATTTATTGTCATCTAAATGTTAATTACAATAACACATTGATTATTATTAATTACAACAATCTATTTATTTATTGCACCTATCCCCAAACAGATCTCATAGATTAGAAGCCACAGTGCTTCTGTAAGTCAATAAGGTATTTGACAGAGTGCCCAGAAATGTTATTGAACCAGGCATAGAAATATTTCCTAGTAGAGATGGATGAGTCTGCAAGTGTTGGATATATGTTAATGTTAACTTTGGAATATGATGGCTTTTTATTTGGCTCTGGCACATCAAAAATTTTATTAATGACTCAGATGAAGACACTGATAGCTTGTCTATCTAATTTCAAGGTGACGAATATTGTAAATAAATGGTGATGGAATACAATATCAAATGCAAAAAAAGTTTGAGTGGTTGAGATAATTTTCCATTTTAAGAAGATAAAATATCAGGTAATAATACAAAATCTTATGCTGGCTTGCCAAAAGGAAATAACAGGAACAATAAGTTAATTGTATATTTAAGTAAAGATAGGAGAGATACAGGAATTTTAGTTCAACACGAGCTAACTGTAGAAAATGCCTAAAAATTTGTTGTGATCTCCTTTTGAATTAACGAATGAAAGGATAGAGTCAGCACAAAGGAGAATAAAGCTTTGCTTTTTAGTAGTATATACCACATTCCAAGATGGTTTGACGAGAACAATGCATATATAAATGAGTTACTTCATATGAAAGGAGAGAAGATTCAGATTTTTGTCTATATTTCAAATATTTATTCGGTTTGACCATTTCATTCGAGGGAGTGTGTGCCTGTGTGTGTGTGCCTGTGTGTGTACCTGTGTGTGTGTATGTTGCCCAAACTTAGACTTTCTAGAAAGATATCTATGAAGGAAAAGTGTTTTTATTTATTTGTAAAAATGTTTCAGTTTATGTAGTGTCAAAGTACAGACTGTAGGAAACAAAGGAAAGTAGTAATAAAGTCATTTTTTTCCTGCAGTTAGAGATCAGAAGAAACAATATTTTATTTCCTCCCAAGGGATTGTTGAAAAATACAATTACTGTTCAAACTTATTTAAACATTGGGAGCTGCAAAATATATGTCTATTGTAATAAGCTTGCATTTGATTTTTGCATATAAGTAATGTCATAAGTGAAGGTGTGGACCATACTCAGAATACAAGAATTCAGACTTGAATAACTTTTATACATTTCTGCCTTTAAAATGCATTTTGTTCGTGATAAGTAAATAATGCAAATAATAGGGAGGTGAGAAAATGTCTTTATAATGCATGTTTGCATTTTGTTAATGTCAATCAGAAATTAGTCTGGAGAGTGAAGTGGGGTGGAGTTGGAGTCTGAAATTCATTTGCCATTCTAGATGCTGTCCTTACCCCAAATATTGCTCTTACATCTTGTTCCCACTTATTGTATCAGGCTCATGGGAAGAAACAGGTATACTGGTAAATTTGGAGTTACTGGAAAAGAGATATCCTCTTAACTTGAATAAGTGGATTTTTCTTTTTTTTTTGTTTTCTTTTACTGCTTCTCTTTTATTATGAATGCCAAACTACAGTGGTCTAGCCTAAGGGTAATATGTCACCATGATGAATGCTACTCACTTCTCTCAGAGAATGTAGTCTAGTAAAATGAGGGCTCCATTATGAGCCGTAGTTCATTTTTGATTTTAACACAGACTGGCTGAGTGACCTTGAATAAATTGGGTCATGTCAGCATATTGAAGCTTTTTGGCTGCGTCTTTGTCTGTCTCATGTATAATGAATGTATTACATATGGTAACTTTTCAATATGAATATTCAAAATTATCAATAAGACAGCTCCAATTCTGCACTATAACTAGCATCGCTAATTTCCCACATTGATCTCAAGAGCTAGTTTCTTTAGCAAGATTATAGAAATGTTTTTCTTTCTGTCTGCATATTATTTATCTTTTCTGTCGTTTTGGTAGAAGTTTTCTGAGATGTTCATCTTAGGAAGTTCTTCTAAATATGATTTTCAGAAATAACTTTTGCTGTCTAGATAGTATAGTTCCCCAAAGGGTTTACATACAAATGTTTGTTTTTAGCCAGATATTCTTTCTCTAAAAAGAATGCATATTTACTCTGTGTAAAGATAAAAAATTAAAAGTTACAGAAGTACATAAAGTGAAAAAAAGTTTCCTGCCCCTCTGCCACCAACTCCTCTTCTTAGAGAAATTCTTTTACCATATATTAATATCCAGTGTCTCTACAAATGTGTATGTATACTCCTTTACTAATTTCAATGGTATTTTGCTCTACTGCGGATGTACAACTTGCTTACTGTTACTTAATAATATATGTTTAGATTGTTTCACCTCACAATCATGTAGAGATGCTTTATTCTATTAATGGCTATATAGTCTGTCATTATAACTATGTATCATAATTTATTTACTCAATTCCATATTGGTGGACATTCAGATTTTTCCAATATTTTATGATTACTAACTATGGCGCAAATAATATGCTTCTATATATACTATTTTAAGAAACTTTTCTAGAAGTGGGATTCCTCAATCAATATGTTCTCTGTCCATAGTAATACACTAAAGCAATATTATATTGTGAAAAATATTGCAAATTGTTTTCTAAAGAGATATATAAATTCATCTCCTATGAACAACTTCAAAAGATGTCTATTTCTCCTACCCTCGCTAATAGATATTAAAGATGCAAATTCAAGACATATGATTTCATCAAAAAATCTTACTGAGCAATTGTCTCTTCATTTTACTGTACAAAACAAATTTTGTTTGAAAAATAAATAATACAGATAATATCAAGAACTGGAAAATAGTTTATAATTTTGTTTCAATTGTGTTATATAGTATCAAAATTGTGAAGAGAGAATAAAGAAATGAAAATTATATTAGGGTCTTTAGCATTTGAAGTTGAATACACTCTATCAAAAGGAACATTTAACAGCAATAGTGGTTATTTCAGTATTTTGCAGAGCAAAGTAACCACTCTTCTGATGTTGTCATTCTAAGTATAGCTACAAAATAATAAACTGAAATAATTCATTTTTAGATTTTCAAGACCCTCATTGCATTTAGAGAAAAATATGCTGGGAGAAAAGAGTGTTTTATCTGCGTCTAGCTACCTTACATAATGTCAATAAAAGATACTTCTGGGGTTTTCATGTAGTCAGGTAAGAATCTCTGGCCTTTGAGCAATTGGTAGCACTGCCATTATGCCCTGTTGAAGATTAGAAAAGGGGAAATGTATATTGCCTAGTTCATTTCATCATCAATCATTTATTTACTTATTTATTAATTATTCATTAATTTTGTCTGCTTGTTTGTTTGCGTCTTTCTCATTTTGTGTCAACATCCAGGACTAATATCACCAAGTATATTTTTGAAATCTCCTGTAAATATATTTTAGAAATATTGAAGTAAATTATTATATGTGCATACAAAAATGATTCAGAGACAATTATAACTTAAATTTAATATGAGACTCTGACCTCTGGTGTAACTTTTGCCACATCATTTAACCCTCAGAATGTCTACCTTCTCTTTTGTAAAAATTGACAGGGAGGAACAAATGAGATAACAAACATAAAGTAATTAACATATTCGTACTACATAGCATCACTAACCCATTTTACAGATGAAGTGAAGGCCCAGGGATATAAAATCGAACTCATTGATAGTAGGGCAGATAGTTTACTAATGTTGACAGGGAAATCTAGTTATAAAATGAAAAAAAAGAATAGAAATAATAACTGAAAGTAATGTGAAAAATAATTTTAACGTTGTGTTTATTTCTAAAGCGTTTCTGTCTACTTTGTTTTAATTTTTTGGTACTTATTTTGTTGCATAACAGGGACTTAGACTCAGGTCTATTTGACTCCGGATTCCATGCATTTTGTCATTATCCTGTCTGCTATATATCCTGGAAAATAAATATTAAGATTTGGAATATTAGAGGGAAAATTGTTGAATAAAACATTCTTCTTCAGAAGTCTAACTAAATAAAAAGTTGTAAAAGTAAAAAATGGTGATATTCACAGAATAAAACAAAACACTGTGAGAAATGTTAGAACTCAAATAGAGCCTTAGAAATAGAATTGGAATTATTTGCAAGGCAATAAGGCGCAATATCATGCTTTCAATGAAATAGGTGTACTGCAGATTAGACATGACATACAAAAGGCACCAAGCACAATGCATGATAAATAGCATGCAGTAAATGGCAATATCATTAGTCCTAGAGAAAACACTGGTGATCGAAAATTTTATAATAATCTCTTGTAGAACCTGCAAAATGCTGGCTATTTAATTATGCAAGAATTCCCTGTAAATTTCTGAAAATAAATGTTGTGTTACACAATAATATATCAGCCTGTGCATACTAAATATTTATTATTTTTTGTTTGTTTGTTTGCCATCAGCAGTCCTCCTCTTTTCAGTTGGGGTGGTTTTCAGGTAGCTCTGATCCCACACCAATGTGTTAAAGCTGCTTTATGATTCTGTCCAGTGCAATCAGGTCATAACATTCTTTATCCATAGTTACTGATCTCAAGACAAACACCTGGCCCAATCAGAGCTAATTCTTGTCTATATTTGCAAGGGCTATTCAAGAAGGAGACATTCTCTTTTCTAAAGTATTCAACCTGTAGGTGTAGACACAATCTTGCAGGCAACTATCTCACTTCCATGGGGAGCCTGGGAATGAAGCCATCCTGTTGAAGCACCTGAACCCAATACGTGAAAAATAAGTCCTCCACTTTTTATTTGCTCAAGTCAACCTTCGTTAGCTTTTCTAAATCTTATAGTTTATTTTACAGCTTTTCTTGCAATGTCTACTTCAGATTTTAACAAATCTCTTTACTCAGTTTCTTCTTTGAATTTCTAGAGCACATATATAGCTGAGATCACACACTTTTGGCACTTCCTCCTATTCTACATTAGATTGTTGCAGCTTCACCTTCCTTATGCCCATATCTCATTATTAACGCCAACACTTCCCACCAAAGACAAATGCACAAACCACCTCTAATTAAAACTGAATTAATACAGGGAATATATAAGTGGACTTCAAAAAGTTCATGGAAAATGGAATTAAAAGATAAAAATATAAATATAAACTTTATTTCTTAGCATAAGTTCTGTCAAGGTCAATAGCCGTTAAGTCCATCCCTAAAGAACTGAGGGTTCTTTGCCAATGCAGATTTTTTTTAATATTAACTGAAGAAAATGGGTGCCCTTTACACACTTTATAAGATTAGGAAACAAAAATAAGTCAGAAGGAGCTAAATTAGGACTGCAAGGCACATGCCTAATAATTTCCCATCAAAACTTTAGCTACATTTCCCTTCTTTGGTGAAGAGAATGAGTAGAAGAATTTTTGTGGTAGAGAAGAATTCTCTGGTGAAGATTTTCTGGGTATTTTTCTGCTAAATCTTTGGCTAAATTTATTAAAATACTCTCATAATAAGCAGATGTTATTGTGGGTCTTTTTTGCCCCCCAGAAAGTCAACAAGCAAGTTGCCTTGAACTTCCCTAAAACAGGTCATGACCTTTGTCTTAACTGGTCTGCTTTTGCTTTGGGACTATTTCCATTTCTTGGTAGCCACTGTTTTGGTTGCGTTTTGTCTTCAGGATGATACTAGTAAAGTCATGTTTCATATCCCATTACAATTCTTCAAAGAATTGCTTCAGAATCTTTATCCCACTTACTTAATATTTCCATTGAGGGCTCTGCTCCTATCTACAGCTGTTCTGGGTGCAACAGTTTTGGCAACTGTATAATGGAAAGTTTGCTCAACTTTAATTTATCAGTCAGAATTGTGTAAACTAAATCAATCGAGATGTCTACAGTGTTGGCTATTGGTTCTGTTGTTAATCCTAAACCCTCTTCAATTAAGGCACAAGCAAGATTAATCTTTTTCCTCAACAATTGATGTGGATAACCTGCTCCAGTGGGGTTTACCTTCAATATAATCTCATCCCATCTTACAAATAGTTATTCTTTCAGAGAAGCAGTTGATTTCTTTGGGTCATTACTCCCATAAAATTTTTGTAAAGCATTAATTATTTCACCATTTTTCCACCCAAGCTTCATTATAAGTTTGATGGGGTTTTTTTTGGTCCAATTTTAGCAGAATTCGTGTTGCTCTGATGAGGACTCTTTTCAAACTGATGTCTTATCCTTCTTAGTGCCTTAAAGTAGATCCTATTCAGATATCTTATAACAAGTTACTGCAAGTTTATTTTGGTTCAAAAACATTTTGAGATCTATGCATAGTTTTTTTCATCATACATATTTTCCAGAAACTTTTTGAATTCCCCTCAGATTGTACAACATTTTATTCCACAGGGTTTACACATATTACTTTCACCTACAAAATGCCTAGAAAATACTGGTTGACTAATATTGATTTCTCAAAATTTTTTTAAATACAAAAATGGCCAGTGAGTTTAATTTCACTGTGACTTTTGATGTGCTCACAATCTCCATATTTTTATAAGAGAGACTATGTTCTGATATTAAGTCTAATTTGATTAAAAGAAATGAGAAAGTGTCTTCAGATATGCCAAAGGTAATATCTATAGAGACAGAGAGAAAATCCTCTGGGCAAATGCATATGTTCACCTGACAAATATCACAAGGAAATATTCTTTGAAATGTATCTGGAGGAAGGGAGAAAACTTAGGGACAGAACCCCTCTTTGGAATAGTGCTACAATAGTAAATACAAAAGCAACTATATTACTTTTATATTTAAAACTTTAAAATTTTGAAGCATTAAGTGAGTTTTAGACTGAGACTTGCAGAATCAATGAACCTGCAAAATGAAGAGGTAGAGAACGCTATATTCACATTTGTGTCAAAGTACGTGTTGAGATTCTGTGAAATCAAGTTAAGAATAAAAATATCATCAATTCTAAAGGTATTTAGGCTTAAATGTACTATGACTACTAGCTATTTGCCAAGATAGAAGCTAGGAAAAAGTATTTTGCTATTGTTATTTTCCCACATCTTTTTTGACCTTCCACCAAGTAAGAGAATAAGCATTGATCGGTAATGTTGATTACAGCCGTACCTTGATGTTAAAGATGTTTTTGATGAGATCTGTGCATATCATTGATATCCTCAGGAACTACTTAATTTTAGAGTTTGCATCTGACTCTAAACCTGAAAATTCATCATAATTTCTAAATGATACTCTGCTGCTTTTTATAAATGAACAATCTTAAAAACAAAGCAATTGAAAATTAAACACCATTTTCTATTCTGTCAAACTTTTAAATAAAAAATACATATACTTTTATGTAAATTGCTGATAAAATACATTTAACATTATATATTCCCAAGTCCAATTACTTCAGAAAATAATAGTATTCTTGCTATATTTTTTGACACTATTTCTGTTCTAACACTGCTTTTCACTTATTTGAGCATAGTTTATTTTAGATTATATAATAATAATTCCTGCATGTTTTACATATTCTGCATTTGGAAACCTTGAAAATGTAATTTTTCAATATTTCTAATTCAGGCTAAAAATACAGTGATACTTTTTTTATTAAGTTTATTCTTTAATGTGAATCTGAGCAAACATAGCCATGGTTAAGTGTAATTAGACTTAGTTATCTTGGAAAATGTGTAAAAACAAGCAAATGACACACAGAGGAGTACAGATATCATTTCAAATAGAACGGGTGTTGTGCACACATATCTCTATAATACGTCATCTATTTTTGCACGTTGGTCGTACTAACACAGAAAAATAAGTCATTTCTCATCAATTGTCTTGCACTGGTATAAAAACAGTGCTGATAGTGGAGGTTATATTTCACTTCATTTGATAACCATTGTCTTCCAAAAGACTTTTTTTTCTCCTGAACTGCCTTAAATTGAGTTAATTACTAAAGCCTTTGGAAAATGTTACAAAATATGTCCAAATTTTCTCATTATACAAATAATTTAGCATGGCAATTTTATGTTCCTTTTATAAAGGGTGACTTTAGAATTGTTTTATATTTACTCCCAGTGCTTCAGCTGTTTGGTTGTTAAGTTCCTAGTTGAAACCCATCCCAAGGGAAAGGCCTTGTATGGATTTAGGCATTAATCCTAATTTTATTAAAAATAATGATAATAATAATAAATCAAAATTTCTTACACATGTAACATGTATTAAATACTAACCTGGTGCTGAGTAATTTTAAGGATTATCTCCTTGGTCCACACAGAACCATAAATGATATGGTAATATTACTCCCTAAATTTTTCATTGAGGAAACCATGAGCTATAAGAATTAAGTAACTTAAAAAAGATCCTGCCTCTAAAAAATGGCAGAACCTGGCTTGAGTTCAGGTCTGTCTGGAATCTTGAACAGCCACAAATGGAAGAAACGTATCAGAAGTATGTTGTATGTTTGGTTTATAACAAGTTATGAGAATGTGATCAGAGAAGGGAACATAGAGTTTTGATTCCATTAGTTATGGTTTCTTCCTTAAGCTATAAGGGATTCTTATTTTTTAAGATGTAAACTGTGAAAAAATTTTACCTAAAAATTTTCAGTCTAGAATAAGTATGATTAGAGGTACAATATATCAGCTTTGTAATTACATGTAACAATATTTATCTATTTATAACTGTTAAATAAAGAAAATTGGAGAACAAATGGATTACATGCATTTGTAACATATGGATTATCAATGGATTACAACATGATACTTTCAAATCAACGTGAGGGGGAAACAGTTTCTATAAGAAATTTTGACCCTACCATTTAGTTTCTGCTTTTTTGACCCAGAATATTTTAACTTCCACTTTGTTGGTGAAGATTTTAACTGAATTATGCCAACATCGATGAATTTTTCTCAAAAGGTATTTTCTGCTACTAATCCAATTAAGCAAATGTAGTCCTTTGATCAATATTATAATAAGGACAGTTTAAGCATTATTGTTGGCAGGAAGAGTTATTTTCTGATACATTTAACAATAAAGATTTGCTTAATTGACCACATTTATTTATTTTCGATTTTGCTGATTGTTCTTTCTGTGGTTTTGTTTCTTTCCACCCAATTGTGTCATAAATTCCAAAAGTAAAATTGATGACAACAGTCTCAGACCATAGAAAATAGTTTTTCAGATATGTTTTGTCAATAAGAATAGATTTTTGTTTCAATTTTAGTTAATAAAAATTTTACACATTTTTCTAGTTTTAGATATTCTGTTGGTTACTTCCATAGTCAATTTACTGTGTCAATTAGTGTAATGATTAAATGGTATTGAGATTAGTTTTCTAATTTATGTAAAATATTACTTCCTTCAGTGAGAGCTACTCTCTATTTTATTTTAGGTTAATGCTCTTAATTAATGATATGTCCTATGAATTTTATAAAATGTTTATGTTTCGTATTTTATTTCCTAATGTACAGCATTTTTAAGTAAATTACCTCACAGATTGCAGCATTGAATTGTGACTGAAGAAGGGTAGATGATTTCACTAATCTAGTTTTCCTGCATATTTCTGACCACGAAGAATTCTATACTTGAAACTTCCATGCTATTTTCAAAGCAAAAAGCAAATGAATGATGAGAGCAATATGTCTTCATGATAAATAGGCCCTTTTGACGAAATCAGTGTAGGTAGCAGAAAAGCAAATTCAGAACTTTGCTGGAAAAATGCATGCCAAACTGTTTAAAGTGATTCGCCTCCATCTGAAGGGTGCTAATATAGATAATTTTATTTTCTTCTTTTTGGCAACCTGTCTTTCTATATTTTTCTGTAATTAAAATGTATTACTTTTGAAATAAGGAAAAGAAATGAAGCAAGAAAGCAAACAAACAAGCAGAGACAAATGATAAATGGACTTAGAATGGCCTTCTGGGCGATTTGAAAATGGTAGTCAGTATCTCACAGTTGCAGATACAGATTCAGGTCTTGAATGAATCAATAGCTACAGAACGCAAAGTCTTCAGAAATGATAATTCTAGTGGCAGAAAGCCCAGGTAAGGAAGCTATCATAAAGTTGTAAGTGAGGAATAATGACAGCCTGAACTAAGCAGGGTTTGGGGATGGGGAAAAGTTAGCAGGCCAAGCAACAGCTACAACAGGAGAAAGACTTCAACCAGTTGAAGAAAAGACAATGCATGTTCAAAAGGAAGGGGTTTCAGCCTGAGGCTTTCATTCAGCTCTCAATGTCAAGAAATAAACAAACAAATAACACCAAAACCAAACACCCCCACCCCAAAAAAGAGAGAAATGAATATCCATGTTTAAAGAATGTTATAAAAATGGCGTCTCTAGATTTTTCACTGGAGTTATTGAATTTCCCTAAAGAAAAGTTTCCAATCCAGTATCTGAAGTGGCCTGGAAGTAGGGGTTTAGGGTGCTACTCCATGCTGGACGCCAGCCTGGTGGGAAATGAACAGCAGAAAGAGGCTGAGTGTGTCTCGTGGTTCAGTACTTTTCCTTCTACGTAATCTGCCTTGTGGGTGGATTTCCCTGGAAAGGAGTGTTTTATGGCTTCTCTCCCCACTGCTACCTAATGAATAAGTATATCAAAGGGAACTGGGTATGCTCAGCACCACTCCTTCTTCCCATCTTTGATGAGCCAGCCTGACCACATGCAACCTGAGGTTCTCTGTGCCATACTTTTCCAGTGGAGAAGTCTACAGAGGAAGCCTAAAGTTTCACAGTTCTGACTAACGGAGTTGATAAGTCAATGTGATTCTTAGGAGAATTAGCAAGCCTCTTTATGTTTCAAATCTAAAGGCACATCTTACCAATTAAAGTTGACCCTTGCACAACATGAGTTTGAACGTAGCATGTCCACTTATACATGGATATTTTTATCAATAAATATATTAAAAATTTTTAGAGATTTGAAAAAACTTTTAGATGAACGCAGTACCCCAGAAACATTGAAAGGATTAAGGAAAAATTAATTATGTTACAAATGCATAAAATATATATTGATACTATCTAGTTTATCATTTACTACCATAAAATATATATACATCTATTATAAACAGTTAAAATGTATTAAAACTTACACAAATACAGACCATACATGGCACCATTCACAGTCAAGAGAAATGTAAACAAACATAAGAATGCAGTGTTAAATTATAACTTTGTAACATTTACTGTAGTCTATACTGTAGTATTGTAATAATTTCATAGCTACCTACTGTTGTTATTGCAGTGAACATAAGTGTTGGGAGTGTCCACTTAAAATGATGTAGATTGCTAATCATCTCTGTGTGAGCATTTCACCTCTCCAGTAAATTGCATATAGCAGCATAAAGTGATCTGTTGCAGTGCGTATTTTTCATCGTATTTTGGGCAATACCATAAACCTTGAATAACACCATGGAACCCATGTGGAGTGCCACCAGTGATACTGGGAGTGCTCCCAAGATGCAGAGAAAAGTCATGACACTACAAGAAAAAGGTTGAATTGCTTCATATGTATCTTAGATTGAGATCTGCAGCTGTGATTGCCCACCATTTCAGACAGGATTCATCTTGTAAACAGATGAGGTAAACTTATGGTATTGATCAGTACAGTACAGTACTGTTAATGTATTTTCTTTTCCTTACAATTTCCTTAATAACATTTCCTCTTTCTAGCTTTCTTTATTGTAACATAAATAATATATAAAACATACAAAATATGTTTTAATCGACTGTATATTATTATTAAGGCCTCCAGACATCAATAGGTTATTAGTAGTTAAGTTTTCAGGGAGTCAAAATTTATACATGTATTTACAACTGTGTGGAAGGTCAGAATCCCAACCATTATGTTCTTCAAAGATCACCTGTAGTCTGGGTTCATCTATACTCATCATAAAGCTTGTATTTTAATTTCCATCTGTCTATATCTCAGATGGTTCTAAAATCAGACAGGAAAAGCCGTTGGTTTTTATTAGGACTACTCATATCCCCAAAACACTGTTGTTAGAATGTAGCCACACCTCCTCCTTTGTGCCCTAGCCTGTAGCTTACCAAGTTCAGTTTATCCAGAGAATAAAATTGCTATCTTCCATTTGTTTGGAGAGCTGACTTTCAACTGCACATGTATGAGGATATATTTTATTAAATAGATTTTCATGAATTTCTAATCTTCGTGCTATTCCTCAAGTCCTACTGTCATAAGTGTATGTATCTCCAGTTCATGGAACTTTTGTTCCTTGTGCATACTTGATTGTTTCTTGTAAAAGTCATAGCATACGAACTCGGCTTTATCTGCTCCATTATGTTAGTTATTATCTCTTCTCTATCTTCCAAAATTCTGTTGGCATGGGTAGTCAACAGCTGTCTTCTCTCCCATTCATTTGTCTTTGTGAATATGTGCCTATATTATTTGTTGATTGACATTTTAATGAGAGTGTGGAGAGGTAGTAGTGTGGCTAACCCAGTGCTGAATCTGCCATATTTTCTGGGCAGTCCAAAAGTGTCATCACCAAGTGGTTAGTCAACTAGAAATTCTTCTATAAATGAAGATTAATTAATAATAAATAATATCGATCAATTGAAGCATTTTATATTTGCAGAATTGATGCTTGTATGAATTATTCATCATTTACTGCTCTAAAATACATTCTTAGAAGGGTGTTGTGATCTATGACACATTAAAAAAAGAATCTAAAGACAAATAAGAGAAGTTTTGTGGAAAGAATGCTGACCCTGGGATAAGAATCTCAGATTGCATCCTGGCCTATTCACTGACTCTTTGTGTAGCTGTGAAATGTTGGACCATAATTGTGTTTTAATTGTAAAATGAATATAGCGAGGTGGTGAAAATAAATTGTTTCCATGTTTTCAGTTTTAAATTTTTTAGTTTCTCTCCCCATTTAACATTTTAGTAAATGTGCTTAAATAAAACTTTTGAATGCAAATTACATGTTTATCAATGAAAAATCTAAATAATATAAAGTAATATTTACTTAACAATTACTAACTTTGTATTAGTTTACTATGCTTGTTACATTGGTTAATTTATTAGTTCTCATACCAAACCCATGGGAGTAAGTAAAAACTTAAAAAATCTCCCATTAGAACATAGAGAAATTGATGCACTGAAAGGCATGGTAATTTGCTTTGGATCACTCAGCTAGGATGCTTGGTACCCAGAAATGCAAACTATAAAACCCATATTCTTAACCACTGTGTTGTACAATTGTGATTGAATGTACTTTGTAACTATTCAGCCAAATACATTAAATCTGTATATTTAACATGGAAGTTATCCATGATATATTCTTTATAGAATATAAAAGAACTCTTACTATTTTATTCCCTCCAACAACTGGCAAGTTTTAGGAACTAAAAGGATCTGTTTTTTATTTTTGAGTTGAGTATACCGTAAAAATGGAATCTGATTTTATTCTAAACTTTGTGTTATTTTAAGATATTAGGTACATTTTAACAATAAAATTTTCCAAGAATACTGTATGCTATTGTTAAATCTAAAGCTCAAAAATTATAAACCTCACCAATAATGCTACCATCTAGAAAAAAATACTATATATGTGGGTGAAATTGTACTTTGAAGAAAGTAACTTTCGGGTAGCTTAACAACACTCCACCTGAGTTTACAATGTAGGAAATGTCAATAGATACATTTTCGTTTTAAATCTATTTAGCAACTATTTGTTCTTATTTATTGCTGCATTCATTCTCATTTCAGCGATAGATTTAAATGCTCTAAAGCTCAACTTCATTAAAGAGTTTACACCAGAAAAATCTCTCCTTTTTTTGGTAAACTAATATTTTATTAGTTCCAACCTATTCTCTTTCTCTCTCTCTCAATACTGCTTTCAATTTTGAATTCCCAGATCATTTAGTCTGACAACTCAATTTACCTTTAAGAAAAATGTTGAAATTACATGATTTTGTCCATTGATTTTTGGAAAATGTTTCAGAAGTGATTTATGATATAATGATAAAATGCTTTTTTCAAAACATTATAACAAACAATGGAATCTGGGACACAAGAATAAGGAGGAAAATATATAGAAATTTGATGAGAATATAAATAATGAGCATAATCAACATTTAAACTCTTACAAAAGAAGCAACTTATCTCCAGATTCTTGAGTCTAGGCTATTCATCCTTAACCCTGGCTAAAACACCGGGTAATTAAGCAAAACAAAAAAGTCTACAAAAAATAATGAAGGCAAAATTCTTGTAAAATAAATTGATGCTAAATACTATCAAAGAACTAAACATTTTATATTAATGTTTAAGTAATATAAATTTGGCTTTAATATTCACAGCTGATAAAATGATAAAATAAAAATAAGATATACACATGTGTGTAAACTAAGTCTGTTCTTGTGAAATATGCTTTAAACCTATGCTGAAATTGTTTTATTGTTTTAGCGGGGGGACAATATATACAAGTAGTACCAGGGTCAGAAGAAAAAAAAAGTAAACAGATTAGGACTAGTATAGAAAAGCTGCAGTTTATATATTAAACCATTCAAATAAAACAACCTGAACACTTGTGATGCAACACATGCTTGACAAAATTTAACATGATCCTATTTAATTCAGATATTGTTCAAAGAAACAAAGCAAAAATAAAATGTTTTATAAAAAGTGGAATCTCCTGTGTAAACTTCCCTGATTAAACCAGGCATTGTATTAAGCACTTTACAGATACTACATATATTAGCTAACCTAGTGCCCATAAGATTGTCAAGAAATAGCTTTAATGATTATCCTCAGTTTGCAAATAAATTAAGGCAAGAGTTTATATTAAGTAAATGAGTGGGGTTTGAACCCAGCAGGTTGACTGCATGTGACCTTGTGGGTGTGGCTTGTCCAAATCCTATCAACTATTGCCTACAGCTATTGAACCAATTAACTTCCCCATGAGCCAAGTATGTGAGTTTATGATATCCATATTCATGTGCACAATCGCTATTTTCAGACATTTTAATCTTTGCCAATTTGGTTATGGTACACTATTGTATTTTTCTAAATACGAATAATATACTTTGGATATTTGTCCTCCCCAAATGTCATGTTGAAATCTCTCCAATGTTGGAGGTGGAGCCCAGTGGGAGGTTTTCAGGTCACGAGGGTGGATCCCTCATGAATGGCTTGGTGCCCTCCCTGCAGTAATGAGATCACAGGAGATCTGATTGTTAAAAAGACTGGGACTTCCCTCCTCTCTCTTAGCTCGCTCTCTCACCATATGACTAGTTGGCTACTATTCCCTTTCTCCATGACTAAAAGTTTCTTGAGGCCTTTCCACAAGCAGATGCTTGTGATATATTCTGAAGAACCAAAAGACAATACAAATCTCATTTCTTATAAATTACTCACTCTCTGGTATTTCTTTATAGCAATGCAAAACAGACTAACACACCTAGTAAAGTGGAGTATCTTTTCATATGCCTAATATCTATGTAATGTTTCTTTAGATTTTTCATTATCACATTTTATTTAGCTGTATCATGGTATAATTTACAAATAACAAAATGCCCAAAATGTGAGTATATAGTTTCAATGAACTATGGGAGATTACTCTCTTGTATAACCTCAATAAATCCCCTTTTCTATCAATCCTTGCATTCACCAGCCCAGGTAAACATTGATCCGCTTTCTGGTACTACCAACTAGAATCTCATACAAATGAATCCATAAAGTATGTAGTCTATTCTGCCTGGCTTCTTTCACCCAGGATATTTCTTAGTTTCATTTATAATTTTATATCTATCTATCTATATATATATATGTAGCAAACTTTATCAATAGGTAAACAATAGATTGATCTTACATTGAGGAAATAAAACTTAAAAGGCATAAAGGCATTATCAGACAGCTGGCTTTGAAGTAAGATTCATCTAATGCAAACTCTATCTGTATTACCTCTGACCTGTGAGACCTTCATTAAATAATGTAAACTCTGTATGGCTTTTCTTCTCACCTGAAAATTAAGGATGCTGTTAACATCTTTCAGAACTGCTGTGTGGACTTAGTAAAGTGCTGAATGCAAAGTTCTTATTACAAAAGCAGGCACATAGAAACCAATTCATTAATATTCTTTAACTGTTATTTTTAATATTTATATAATTGAACTTTATACCCTTAACTGGAGCTTGAGAAATGATGATGAAAGTCAATAAGGCTGTTAGCTAAGTCAGGATATTTCCCCTTTTATTAAAAGAAACTCTTTATTATGATGGAAATTATGGCATTTAATTTAAACCATCAAAACCACTTGCTTTATTTAGATTTCCCTTAAAAAGAGTAATCATTGTCTGTCAAACTTCTAGATTCTTGATTTTTGCAGGGCTTGGAAGTCATCACTCCCCTGTTACAACAAGAAAAAAATCTAAACACACTGAAAAGGAACAACTATTCTTAGATTCATCAGAGAATTGGAGTGTCAGTGCAAACTGATGACCTGAAAAATTGAAAAAGAAGCAGAAATAGAGAATCACACCTTGCCAGGAGCAGAAGCCCAATGACAGAACCAATACAACCATGAATACCAACACCCTGATTAATGAGTTGCTGGAGGCTCACTATGAACTAACTTGAGAGTTAAAAACTACGGAGGGTGCAGTCCTAGGTAGTTCCCACACGTTCACGAGTTTTACTATCAGGACCCCCATCAGGTTCTCACTGTGAGTATCTGAGAAAAATCTGATCACACTTTTTGTAAGAAGATGGGAAAAGGTAACCATTGTAACATATGCAAAGAAGAAAAGTCATCGTTTTGAAATACATCCAGAGCATGTGTTCTTTTTATTTATTTATTTATTTTAATAAAGGCTAACTCTCAAAGAACTACATTCAGAATGCCATATTTAACCTGGAAAAGATCAATTAGTGAACTTTTATCTCTCCTGTTTTACACAAGGAGAGGGAAAAAAAAAAACTAAGAAACTATTATGAAAGTCACAGCACAAGAACTATGACTCACCAGTAATAAATAAATAGCATAGATTATAGAATGTTTTCCTTTCCTGGTATCTTACCACCACATCAACAGAGCTTCATATACTGAGTAACAGTAAATAACAACTTAGAGAGCTGCCAGATACACATTCCATTTAAGGAGTTTCTAGGGGAGCCCAAAGTCAATAGCAGAGACAAAACAAGGACACTAGAAGAAGTGGAAGCCCTTGACACCTACAGCTGACGCACACATTGAACTAGGCCTAAATTCCATTCAAATAAATAAATTAAAAAATCTCACAGTAAAGACCTATGGACTTCAAGTTCCTCTTACCCAAAATGTCATGTCCAGCATTCAAAAAGGTTATGCTAAAAGGCAAGAAAGAAACCGCTATCTAAATAAACAAAGTAAATATAAAATTAGACTTGCATATGGCAAAAATATTGGAGTAATCAGATAGAAATTTAAAATGACTATAATTGGCTGGCCATGGAGCCTCAAGCCTGTAATCCCAGCACTTTGGGAGGCCAAGGTGGGCAGATCATTTGAAGTCAGGAGTTCGAGACCAGCCTGACCAACATGGGGAAACCCCTTCTCTACTAAAAATACAAAAAAAAAACTGGCTGGGCATGATGGTGCGTGCCTGTAGTCCCAGCTACTCAGGAGGCTGAAGCATGAGAATCTCTTGAACCCAGGAGAAGGAGGTAGCAGTGAGCCAAGATCATGCCACTGCACCCTAGCCTGGGAGGCACAGTGAGACTCTGTCTCAAAAAAATAAATAAAATAAGATAACTATGATTAATATGCTTAGGTCTGTCATGCAAAAGGTAGATAACATGCAAGAACACATGGTAATCTAATAAGTGGAAGAAAAACACTAATAAAGAATCAAAGGAAATTGAAAAAATAGAAATAATGTATCAAAAATGAAGAATGTTTTTGATCAGCTTACCAGTAGACTGTACACGGACAAGGAAAGAATCAGTAAGCTTGCAGATATGTCAATAGAAACATTGCAAACTGAAATGTAAAAAGGAAAATAACAAGGGTAAACAACAACAACAACATAATATCCAAGAACTATGGAACAATTATAAAAGATGTAACATGTGTAATGGAACTACCAAAAGAAGGAGAAAAACGGAAAGAAGTAGTAAAGCAATATGAATGAAAATTTCTCTAAATTGATGATAGACTCTATGCCACATATACAGCAAACTCAGAAAACACCAAGCAGGATAAATACCAAAAAATCCACACCTGAGTACATCATACTCAAAATGCAGATAATTAAAGACAGAGAGAAAATGTTGAAAGATTTTAAAGGAAATAACACATTTTACCTACAGAACATAAGAAGAAGAATTACATCAGAATTTTTCATAAAACATTCAAGCAAGGCAAATGGTGGAATGAAATATTTATAGTGCTAAAGGAAACAAACTACCAGCCTACAATTCCATATCCAACAGTCATTCTTCAGAAGTGAAAGAAAAGTAAGATTTTCTCAGACAAATAAAAACTGAGAATTTGTTACCAATAGACCTGCTTTGCAAAAAAATGGTAGAGAAATTCTTCAGAGAGAAGGAAAATAATATGTGTTATAAACTCAGATTTACATAAAAACAAAAATCATTAGATAAGGCATAAATAAAAGTAAAATAGAACATTTACTTTCTCTTACTCAACAAATTGAATAAATAACGGTTCAAAATAGTAATGGCAGGATATGTGGGGTAATTACAGCTTATGAGTACATAAAATAAATAGTAGCAATGTTATAAGGAAAAGGGTAGAATTGGGGATAGTCTGTTATAAGTTACTTGTATTATCTGTTAAGTGGTATAATGTTATTTGAAAGTGAGCTTAAAATAGTCTTAAATGCATACTTCAAACCTAGGATAGTCAATAAAGGAAAATAAAAAGGAAACACAATTACCTGTTAAGAGACAAGTAGCCTGGACAATATAGTAAGACCCTATCTATAAATAATTCTTTTCTAAACAAAATATTAGCTGGGTACGGTGGCCTGTAGTCCCAGCTACTTGAGAGGTTGAAGTGCAAGAATCACTTGAGGCCAAGAGTTCAAGACAAGCCTAGGGAACATAGTGAGACACTATATATATATATATATATATATATATATATATATATATATATATATATACACACACACACACACACACTATATATATATACACTATATATATATACACACACACACATATATGCATATGCACACTATATATATACACTATATATAAAATATTAATTTAAAACAAAAATAGACAAAAATGAAATGATACAAATGATATAAGACAAAAATAAAATGATATAAATGATATATAAAGCTCAATTAAATCCAAAGAAGGCAGAAAAAGAGGACAAGATTTAGAAAGTAAGCAAATATTAAGTGCAATCAATTGAAGAGTTACAAATATAGTAGATATTATTCAATTATGTATATATCAATAATCACATTAGAAGTGAATGTTCTAAATACACTAATTAAAATACAGACTGACAGACTGGATAAAAAAAGAGGACCCAACTTTATGTTGTCTATAAGAAATCTATTTTAAATATAAAGATACAAATTAAAAGAACATTTATGGTGAAGGGTACACCATATTAACACAAAAGTAGAAAAAGCTGGAGTAGCTTATTAATTTCAGATACATTGAGTGGCCTCTGTATCTGAAATTTACAGAGAGAATTAGAGAGAATTACCAAGAATTACAAAATATTACAAAGATAATTATCGGGATATAGAGGTGGATTGCATAAAAGAGTTGATTTTCCAAGGTGACATACTAATCATTAATTTGCATTCATCTCAGATGGAGCATCAAAATACATGAAGGAAAAACTGTTATAATCCCAAAGAGGAGTAAATAAACTCATTTTTATAGTTGGAGATTTCACTACCTATTAGTAATTGAAAGATTCAACAGGTAGTAAATGAACAAATACATAGTTTAAATAAATAGTATCGTCAAACAATGATATCTAATTGCTGTATATAAAATACAGCAACAGACAGAATATATATTATGCTCAAACTCAAACAAAACTTCATCAAAACAGATCATATTCTTGGCATAAAACTTACCTACAAATTTAAAAGAACAAAAATCATACAAAGTATGCTCTGGGACTGCAATGAAATTAGTCTAGAAATCAATAACAAAAAGATAGGAATTTCCAAAATATGTAGAGATTAAACCACAAATTCTAATACCAAATGTGTCACAGGCAAAGTCACAAGAGACATTTTAAAAAGTTGTACTGAATGAAAATTTAAAAAATAATATTTGAAAATGTATGGATACAATGGGAACAGTACTTAGGGAAACATTTGTGGCATTGAATGCATATTATGGAACATTTAAAAAAATCTAAAATCAATGCTTAAGCTTCTACCACAGGAAACTAGAGAAAGAAAGAACGACATAAACATAGATCAAGTGGGAAAATATATTTTTTTAAAGTAGCAGAAATCAATGAAATTGATAACAGAAAAGCAAAAGAGATTTTTTTCTTTGAAAACTTTTTTCGAAAAGAAAAGATTAATAAAATTGATTAAATGCATGCAAGGAGAAAAAGACCATCTAAATATAACTATATTATTAAAAAATGAATCATTAACTCTTATTGTTGCAGAATAGAAACTGCTAGGACCTATTGTTTTTATTGGTGAATTCCACAAACAAGACACAAGTCATATTTCTGCAATCATGTCAAAAAAATAGAAGCAGAGGAAACTTATAACTAACTCTTTCTTCCTAACTCACTTGATGAAGCCAACATTACCATAATACAATAGCAAAACCAGGTAAAAACATTCAAGAAACAAAATTACAGACCAATATCCCTCATGAGCTTAGATGCAACAATTCTCAATAAAACATTAACAAATCAAATAAAAATGTATAAAAAGAATTATACTCCACAACTAAGTGGGATTTATTTCATGTATGCAAGGCTGGTTCAACATGCAAAAATCCAGTAATATAATCCATAACATCAATGCACTAAAGAAGAAAAATTATATGATCATATCAATAGATGCAAAAAAAGCACTTGACAAAATACAGCACCTATTCACAATAAAAATTGTCAGCAACCTAGGAATAGAGAGAAAGTTACTCAACTTCATAAAGAACACCTACATAAAACCTGCAGCTGGCATCATACCTAAAGGTGAGAAACTGAATATTTTTCCCTTAAGATCAGGAACAGGATAAGGAAGTCACCTCTGACCACTCCTATTCACATCATATTGGAAATTGTAGCCAATACTAAGACAACATCAACAAAAAAAGTAAAATAAAATGTTTAAAAGGGGAAATAAAGATAGACAGATTGGGAAAGTAGAAATAAAACTGTCTTTGTTCACAAATGACATGATGATTGCTGTGTAGAATATCCCAAAGAATTAACAGAAGAAAACTGTTGGATTTAATAAGCTATTATAGCATGGTTGAAGAATAAAGATTAATATATGAAAGTTGGAAGTCCTATCCTGAGCAATCAGGCAAAAGAAAGAAATAAAAGGTATCCAAATAGAAAAATAAGTCAAACTAACTTTCTTCACTGACAATATGATTCTGTACCTAGAAAACCAAAAAGATTCTGCCAAAGGTTCCTAGTACTGATAAATGACTTCAGAAAAGTTTCAGGACACAAAAGTCAACGTACAAAAATAAGTAGTATTTCTATACAACAACATTCAAGCTGAGAGCCAAATCAAGAATGCAATCCTATGTACAATAGCTACAAAAAACAATAGTTAGGAATGCATCTAATAAAGGAGGTGAAAGAGCCCTACAAGGAGAACTACAAAAACCTACTCAAAGATATCAGAGATTACACAAACAAATGAATAAACATCCCAGATGTTTATTCAGGGCTATTCTTATCAGCTGTCAATGTCATTTTTCTCAGAAATAAAAGAAACCATTCTAAAACTCATATGGAACCAAAAAAAGAGCCAGAATAGCCCAAACAATTCTAAGGAAAAAGAGCAAGCCAGAGGCATCATGTGATCTGACTTCAAACAATATTATAATACTACAATAACAAAAATAGCATGGTACTAGTACAGAAACATAACATCAACCAACGGAACAGAAGAGAGAACCTAGAAATAAAGTCACATACCTACAGCCACTTGATCTTTTACAACATCCACAAAAATAGGCAATGAGGAAAAAACTCCCTAGTCAACAAATTGTGCTAGGAGAGCTGACTAGAGATATGCAGAAGAATGAAACTAGACCACTATCTTTCACCGTGAGTAAAAATTAACTCAAGATGGAATTAAAGATATAAATGTAAGACTTCATGCTATAAGAATCCTAGAAGAAAACCTAGGAAACACCATTCTGGAGATCATCCTTGGGAAATATTTTATGACTAAGTCCTCGGAAGAAAACACAAAAAGACAAATGAGACATAATAAACAAAAGAGCTTACACACAGCAAAAGAAACTATCAACAGAGTAAACAGACTATCCTACAGAATGGGAGAAAACATTTGCAAACTATGCATCTGACAAAGGACTAATATCCAGAATCTATAAGATACATAACAATTGAACAAGCAAACAACAAATAACTTCATTTTAATAAAGAGCAAAAGATACCAGAAAGACACATGCCCATTCACATTAAGCACATTCACATTATGTTAATCACAGCACTATTCACAATGGCAAAGACATGGAGTCAACATAAATGCCCATCAACAGTGGATTGGATAAAGAAAATTTGGCACATATACACCATGGAATACTATGCTGCTATAAAAAAGAATGAAGTTGTGTCCTTTGCAGCAACATGGATGGAGCTGGAGGGCCATTAGACTAAGTGAACTAATGCAGGAACAGGAAACCAAATACCTTATGTTCTCACTTACAAGTGAGAGCTAAACACTGATTACACGTGGAGGCCAAAAAGAGAAAAATAGACACCAGGGGCTACTTGAAGAAGGTAGTGGGGAGGGTGAGGATTGAAAAACTACCTGTGAGGTACCATGCTTATTACCTGGTAATGAAATAATCTGAAATAATCTGTACACTAAACCCATGAGTCATGAAATTTACCTATATAACAAACCTGCACAGGTACCCCTGAAACTAAAAGCCTTTGTGCGTGTGTGTGTGTGTGTGTGTGTGTGTGTGTGTGTGTGTGTGTGACATGAATCAGTACTTTATTCCTTTTTGTGGCCAAATAATATTCCATTGTGTGAATGTGCCATACTATTTTATCCATTTATCAGTTGATAGACATTTGGGTTGTTTCCAACTTTTGGTTATTTTATATAATGCTGCTCTGAACAGTGGTGTACAAATATTTGTTTGAGTCCCTCCTTTGAATTCCTTTGGGTATATTCCCAGAAGTAGAATTACTGGTTTATCTTATAACTATGTGTTTAACTATTTAAGGAACTTCCAGTCTGCCTTCCACAGTGTCTGCACCATTTTACATTCTAACCAAAAATATATGGGGGTTCCAATTGCTCCACACCGTTGATAACACTTGTTATTGTCTGACATTGTGGTTATAGCTATCCTGGTGGGAATGAGGTGGTGTGTCACTGTGGTTTTGATTTTCTTTTCCCTGATGACTAATGATGTTGAGCATCATGTCATGTTCTTGTTAGCCATTTGTGTATCTTCCTTGGGAAAATGTCTATTCAAATTCTTTGTACATTTTAAAATTGTTCTGTTTGTCCTTTTATTATTGAGTTGTAAGAGTTCTTATATATTCTAGATACAGTTTCCTTATCAGATATATGATTTGCAAATATTGATCAGCAAGCATCTTTCAATAAAGGAATTCTAAAATTTCAAAAAAAAAGCAAAAGACATGAACAGACATTTCTCAAAAGAAGATATACAAGTGGCCAAAAAACATGAAAAAAAGCTCCACATGACTAATCATCAGAGAAATGCAAATCAAAACGACAATGAGATACCATCTCAAACCAGTCAGAATGGCTATTATTAAATAGTCTTTTTTTAAAAAAGATGCTGGTGAGGCTGCAGAGAAAAGGGAACATTTATACACTGTTGGTGGGAATGTAAATAAGTTCAGCCACAGTAGAAAGCAGTTTGGAGGTTTCTCAAAGAACTTAAAACAGAACAACAATTTGACCTGCAATCCCATTACTGAGTATATATACAAAATAATATACACTGCTCTACAGAAAAGACATATCCACTGGCATGTTCATCACAGCATTTTTCATGATAGCAAAGACATGGAATCAAAAAAGGTGCCTATCAAAGGTATATTAAATAAAGAATATGTAGTTTATATATAGCATGGAATGCTACACCACCCTAAAAAAGGATGAAATAATGTCTTTTGCAGCAGCATGGTTGCAGTTGGAGACTATTATTCTAAGAAAATTAATGTGGGAACAAAAAATCACATACCACATACTCTCACTTATAAGTGGGAGCTAAACATTGGGCACTCGTGGACATAAAGACGACAACAATAGACACTGGAGACTACTAGACAGGAGAGGTAGGGAAAGGGTGATTCAAGGGTTAAAAACTAACTATTGGGTAATATGCTCAGTACCTTGTGATCAGATCAATCATACCCCAAACCTCAGCATCATGCAAATATACCCATGTAATAAATCTGCACGTGTATCCCCTGAATCTAAAATAAAAGTTTAAATTATTAAAGAAAACAACAAACAAACAAAAATCAGCTACTTGCCAGCAATGAGCAATTTTCATTTGAAATTAAGACACACTACTATTAAATGAGCTCTACCCAGTGCTTTGGGAGGCCAAGACAAGAGGATTGCCTGAGGACAGGATTTTGAGACAAGCCTGGCAACATAGGAAGACTTCATCTCTAGAAAAAATTTTTAAAAATTAGCCAGACATGGTGGCACATGCCTGTAGTCCTAGCTAACTGGGAGTCTGAGGTGGGAGAATCACTTGAGCCCAAGATTTCCAGGTTGCAGTGAGCTATAATGATGCCACTGTACTCTAGCCTGGGTGACCAAGCTAGACCTACCTCTGTAATAATAATAATAATAATAATAATAATAATAATAATAATAATAATAATAATAAAAAACTCCAAAATTGAAAGACTCAGGAAAAAAAATTCAAGCTGATTTATTTGAGAAAATTCAATATTTATTTGAGAAAATCTACAAAACACCAATGACAGAAATCAAAGAACTAAATAAATGGAGAGGCATTTTATGTTCATTGATAGAAAATCTCAATGCCAGATCTTTCCAACCTCGTCTATAAATTCAATGCAGTCCTGACCAAATCACAGCAAGTTAATTTATGAATATAGACGAATTGATTCTGAAATTTTTATAGAAAGGCAAAAGTACCAGAAGAGGTGATACAATACTGAAGAAGAATAAGAAAGTCAGCCTAACACTACCTAACCTCAAGAATCATTATTAACTTATGATTATTATAGTGTGATATTAGATAAAGAATAGAAAAATAAATCATGCATCATGGAATAGAGAGCCTAAAAACAGATCCCCACAAATAATAGTCAACTGATCTTTGACAAAGAAGAAGGATATTCAATGGCAAAAAGATGTTATTTTTAATAAATTTCTTTTAAATAAACAACTAAACATCACATGCCTCCGCTCAAAACAGTTGTACTCCCTTCAAAAGAAACATTTAGCATTGGCCTTACTCCTTTCTCAAAAATTAACTCAAAATGAATCTAAGACCTAAATGTGAGATATGAGACTCAAAAACTTCTGAAATATAACATAGGAGAAATTCTAGATGACCTTGGCTTGGTGATGAATTTTAGATGCCAAACTAGAAGCACCATACATGAAAGAAAAAAAAATGGTACTTTTGACTTCATTAAAATTATTATTTGCTTTGTGAAAGATACTGTTAAGAGACAGAAAAGACAAGCCACAAATTTGGAGAAAATAATATTCTAATAGTGGATACTGACATAATTTGTTTTTCAAAACCCACAGACTGTACAAAACAAAAAGTGAATCTAAATGTAAAATATAAGCTTTAGATAATAACAGTGTATCAATATTTGGTCTCTCACTAATTATTAAAAATATACTACACCCACACAAGATGTTAATTATATGGGAAACTCTGAGGAAGGGGGAGGAAAGATATAGGAACTCTGGACCTTAATTTTCAATATGCCTAGAAGTACTCTAAAAATAACATCCATTAATTAATTATTTCAGACAAAAATTTGAAGTTTGTGATATACATCAGCATTTTCAATTATATGTGATAGTAGAATCCTATCTAAACTAGTGACTCGGCCATTCATTAGAAGATTCTATTTTAATTCACTGCAGAATATGTTTTTTCAGTTATTTTCTTATTTTTTTTTTAATTTATTTTATTTTTGAGACAAGGTCACCCAGGCTGGAGTGCAGTGGGACAATCACAGCCTACTGCAGCTTTGACCTCCTGGGCCCATGCAATCTGCCCACCTCAGCCTCCCAAGCATCTGAGACCACAGGTGCACACCACCATGCCTGCCTAATTTTTTCATTGTTTGTAGAGATGGGCTCTTACTATGTTGCACAGACTGGTCTCAAACTCCTGAGCTCAAGCAATCCTTCCACCTTGACCTCCCAAAGTGCTGAGATTACAGCTGTGAGCCACTGTGGTGGGCTAGTTTTTTGTATATTTGTTTATATGGGTTATTTCTTTTTTTATCCCCGCTAGTATTCAAGATCTCTGTATTTACATAATATAAAATGGTGCCTATAGTAGAGTATACCAGGGATTGAAGGCATCTTTAGGGTCTCAGTAATTTTTTCAGAGCACTCTTAAGCAAAAAATGTGTGTGTTTGTGTGTGTGCACATATACACATATATATAAGTAAAATAAAGGCATACCTTTGAGATATTCAGATACGCTTCCAGACCACTGCAATGAAGTGAATATTGCAATAAAGTGAGTAATAATTTTTTTGTATCCCAGTGCATATAAAATTGTGTTTATGCTACACTGCTGTCTATTAAATGTGTTATAGCATTATGTCTAAAACAACAATGTACATACCTTAATTAAAAATACTTTATTGCTAAACAATGTTAACAATCATCTGAGCTTTCAGTGAGTTACAATATTTTTGTTGGTGGAAGGTATTGCCTCGATGTTGTTGGAAACTGACTGATCAGGGTGGTGGTGGCTGAAGGCTGGGTTAGCTGTGGCAAATTCTTTAAATAAGACAGCAGTAAAATTTGTTACATTAATTGACACATTCACACCCACAAAAAAATATCATTAGCAGGTGATACTCTTTGATAGCATTTTACCCACAATTGAACATCTTTAAAATGGGAGTCTATTCTCTCAAACCCCTGCTGCTGCTTTATCAACTACGTTTATGTAATTCTAATTTTTTTTTGTTATTTCAACAACAGCATCTTCGGCAGGAGTAGATACCACAAGGTAGATACCACCTCAAGAAACCACTTTCTATTTTAATTCATAAGAAGCAACTCCTCATTCATTCGAGTGTTATCATGAGATTGCAGCCATTCACCTATGTCTTCATGGTCCACTTCTACTTCTAGTTTTCTTGCGGTTTTCACCACATATGTAATGACTTTCTCCACTGAAGTCTTGGACCCCTCTGAGTCATGCATTAGGGTTGAAATCAACTTCTTACAACCTTTTGTTAATATTGCTATTTTGACCTCCTCCTATGAATCACAAATGTTCTTAATGGCCTCTAGAATGGTGAATCCTTTCCAGAAGGTTTTCATTTTATTTTTCCCAGATCCATCAGGCAACTTGCTATCTATGGCAGCAGTAGCCTTGTGAAATGTATTTCTTGAATAATAAAACTTGAAAGTCAAGATCACTGCTTGGTCCATGGGCTGTAGAATGGATGGCATATTAGCAGGCATGTAAACATTAATCTCCTTGTCCATCTCCATCAGAGTTCTTGGGTGATCAGGTGCATTGTCAATGAACAGTAATTTTTAACAGGGCTCTTTTGCTTTTCTGAGCAGTAGGTCTCAACAGTGGACTGAATGTACTCAGCATACTGGGCTGTAAACAGATGTGCTTTCATTCAAGCTTTGTCACTGCTTTTATACAACAAAGGCAGAGTAAATTCAGCATAATTCTTAAGGGCTGTATGACTTTCAGAATGGTAAATAAGCTTGGTTTTAACTTAAAGTTACCAGGTGCACTAGCCCCTAATAAGATTGAGTCACTCTGTCCTTTGAAGGGTTGAAGCCAGGGATTAAAGTCTCTCTAGCTTCCAAAGTCCTCATTGCATCTTCTTCCAACAGCAGGCTCTTGTGTCTATTGAAACTCCATTGTGTATTGTAACCACCTTCATCAATTAATTTACTTAGATCTTTAGATAACTTGTTGCAGCTTTTCCATCAATACTTGTTGCTTCACCTTGCACTTTTATGTTCTGGAGATGCCTTCTTTCCTTAAACCTCACGAACAAACCTCTGCTAGCATTACATTTTTATTCCACAACTTCCTCCCTTCTCTCAGCCTTCATAGAATTCAAGAGAGTTAGGGTCTTGCTCTGGATTAGGCTTTGGCTTAAGGGAATGTAGAGATTGGTTTGATCTATCCAGACCATTCAAAATTTCTCCATATCAGCAGCAAAGATGTTTCACTTTCTTATTATTTATGCTTTCACTGGAGTAGCACCTTTCATTTCTGGAAGTTTTTTTGTTTTGTTTCGTTTTTTTTTGGTTTTTTTGCAGTCACAACCTGTTTGGTGCATGAGGCCCAGCTTTTGGTCTATCTTAGCTTTCGATATGTCTTCTTCACCAAGTGTAATAATTACTAGTTCTTGTATAAAGTGACAAATGTTCAACTGTCTTTCACTTGAACACTTAGAGGCCATTATAGAATTATAAATTGGCTTAATTTCAGTATATTTGTGTCTCAGGGAATAGGGAGGCCCAAGGAGAAAAAGAGAGAGACCAATCAGTGGAGCAATCAGAACACCCACAACATTTATCAATTAAGTTTGTTGTTTTATGTGGGTGTGGTTAGTGGTGTTTCAAAACAATTACAATAGTAACATCAAAGATCATAGATCATTACAACAGATATAATAATAATGAAAAAGTCTAAAATTTTCTCAGAATTACCCTAACGTGACACAGAGATATGATGTGAGTTCATGTTGTTGGATAAATGGCCCCGAAAGCCTTGCTTGATGTAAAGTTGTCACAAACCTCCAATTTGTATAAAACACAGTATCTGCAGAGCACAATAAAGCAAAGTGCAAAAAAACAAGGTATATCATATATTCATATACATGAATAAGATATATATGTGTATTTCATTTATTATGTAGATTCTCTCAAATAAATTAAATATTTATGTACTAACACCAGGTGAACTTGAGCACTGAACAAGTTCTCAAATTTTGTAATCAGATTGGACATTCCTATTCTCATTTTCTGTTACACATAGATTTTACATACTACCAACTTTTATCACAATAACTACTGAAAACCAAGCTTTCCAAAGAAATGACATCATTGAAGGGATGTAGCAATCTAATATTGAAACTATATTCTTCATCAGGCTGATAGTTTGCACACTCACAGTTGTGCAAAATTGTATATCTGTGTCTACCTAAAAATTGAATAATATCCTACAACACCCATGTAAATTTTCTGTGACACCCCAGTGTGTTTCAGTACACTGTTTGGGAACAGTATGAGTAGACTTGTCATATATTAAATAATATGAAATATTATGGAAATTACTTATACCAAAAATTACATATTATGCTATTGTTCAGTTCAAAGGATAAAAGTGAAATGAATTCCTGTGTGCTCACTACACAGCACAGTAATGGAAAATTACCGGTACTTTGAAGCCCTCTATATGGCTCTCTCTGAATATATTCTTCTTTCTCTTTCCCATAAAAGAAACTTGTCAAGTATGCTGCTGGGACAAACACCACAAACACAGGCAGTGACAGTTTAAATTAGACACGTAGAAGCAGAGGACTAGGCTGGGCATGGTGGCTCACGCCTATAATCCCAGCACTTTGGGTGGCAGAGGCAGACGTATCACCTGAGGTCAGGAGTTTGAGATCAGCCTCATCAACGTGGAGAAACCACATCTCTAATAAAAAATACAAAATTAGCTGGGCGTGGTGGTGCATGCCTGTAATTCCAACTACTCAGGAGGCTGAGGCAGGAGAATCGCTTGAACCTGGGAGGTGGAGGTTGTGATGAGCTGAGATCGTGCCATTGCACTCCAGCCTGGGCAACAAGAGCGAAACTCCATCTCAAAAAAAAAAAAAAAAAAAAAAAAAGAAGGAAAGGACTATTAGGATGCGTAAGAGTCTCCAGACTTTCACAGTCACAGAATAAGAGTCTCCAGACTTTCACAATCCCAGAGAATTGTAACTGAATGGATAGGTTTTGCTGGCAGAAAGGATTTTTCCTCTAGATGTGGAACCCTCTTTGGGCAGGTACATGTGTGACAATACGATTGGCTTGTTGCCTAAATATTTGCATCTGTTCCCATAGTTAGTCAACACACGTGGTCATTCCTTAAACAATACATATCTGGGTAGTCCAGGAGCCTGTACGCCCATCTGGTCTTTTAACAATGAATCCAGCATTTATATAAATGTAGGAACAGCATTTTCTGTGGCCAGCACATTGCTGTCAGTTCAGCCCATTTTGCTGAGTGGTCAATACAGCAGGCTGTCAGTCAGTATGATGATGGCAGCAGCACCTCCCTGGATTTTTCTGTCTTAAAGTCAGACAATTCTATGCCTTATTTTCAAGGCCATTAAAAGAGGAGATGCATTATACAGCACCTGCAGAAGCTTTAAATCCCACATATAAGAATGATTATTTATTTTTACCATTTTAGTGTGTGGTAATGCTTTAACTGCAGGCCGTTGGCAGGCTTTAAGAATTTAGGTAGCTTGCAGAAATGTACTTGAACCCACCAATGTGGGAAACACTTCCAGGGATCAGAGTGAATGAGGTCAAACCAACCAGTAGGCATGCTGGTGTTGGAGAAAAATAAGCTAAAATATTTGCACTGATTAGGAGTCTGAATAATTACTAGCAATCACACTCCAGTCGTAGAAGTCAAAACCTGAATGTATTGGCCATCGGTGACCATGCTCTGTTAGAACCCAAGTTACAGTCCACTAGGGAGATACTCTCAAGACAAAAGAAGGTTTGTGTTCACTTACCTCTCCAGTGAACCCACTTCCAAGCCTTTCCTGATTACTCAGTTACACATGTAAAACAGAATTTCATATTTTTAGGTGACCTGTAAAAGGACAGTTTCTCAAGACAATGAGGATGATATATTTCTGACAAAGAAGTATTTAAATGAGTACTTTCTCTTTAAAGTCATGTTCAAATGAATGAATGAGTGACCTATATATGCTACAGTTTGAATGGAAATATTTTATATCACAGACATATCAAGAATGTGAGAAATATAACAAACTTGCTGAAAAAGCCCATGAATACTAGCAATCATATTTCTTTTTCCTTTTTTTTAAATAAAAAAAAAGAAAGAACAATGCCTTCAATGACGGTACTTTATCTCAGTAATGCAATATTGCACTTATTTAAATGTTGCTACTAATTAGTACATATCCTAATCTACCTGCCTAAATACTAGTGTAATACTAGCAAAAAATGGTTACTGTATTTACCTGCCTAAATACTAGTGGAAAATGGTTACTGTATTAGTCAGAGTTCTCTTAAAGGGACAGAACTAGTAGGATATATATATATATATATATATCCTATTATATATTATATATATTTCTATATATACATTATATATATTTATATATATATATATGGAGAGAGAGAGAGAGAGAGTAGTCCAGGAGACTGTACACCCATCTGGTCTTTTAACAATGAATCCAACATTTATATAAATGTAGGAACAGCATCACATATACCTCATATAAGTATATGGGAGTTTATTAAGTATTAATTCACAAGGTCCCACAATAGGCTGTCTGCAAGCTGAGGAAAAAGGAGAGCCAGTCTGAGTCCCAAAACTGAAGAACTTGGAGTCCAATGTTCTAGGGCAGGAAGCATCCTGCATGGGAGAAAGATGTAGGCTGGGAGGCTAGGCCTGTCTTTCTCCTTTTTCAGGCTTTTATGCCTGCTTTATATTTCCTGAAAGTTGATTAGATTGTGCCCAGCAGATTAAGGATGGATCTGCCTTCCCCAGCCCACTGACTCAAATGTTAATCTCTTTTGGCAACACCCACACAGACACACCCAGGATTAATACTTAGTATCCCTCAACTCAATCAACTTGACACTCAGTATTAACCATCACAATTATATATGAGAATTTTTTTCACTTTTATTAAGCATAGCATATTTTGATTTTTTTAGCTAGAATATTTCTGAAGTAGTTGTATAAGGTATGCACAATTATTTACTATATTATATATACATAAATTGATTTTTTATTATTGACTCATGTATTCTGGAATATAGTATATTATAATATGAAATTTAGTTCTCTTGTTGCACATTGCATCTTCAGATAGGTTCATGTACATAATTACGATTTGTACCTCTTGACCTACACCTTCCCATTTTCTCCTCCTCACACTGATAACTACTTTTCTACTATCTCCACTTCTATGTATTTAACATTTTTTAGATTCCATGTATAAATAAAGTCATGCAGTATTTTTCTTTCTGTGTTTGGTTTATTTCACTTTGCATAATGTCTTCCAGGTTCATCTATACTGTCACAAATGGAAGCATCCTCTTATCTTTTAAGTCTGAATAATATTCCTTTGCACCACAATTTCTTTTTTATTGTTTATATCTAGAATGTATGTGACTATATATATATATATATATATATATATATATATATATACACCCGTATATATACATATGTGTGTATATTATATGTAATATATAGGTTATATAATGTAATATATAAGTTTCAGGACCCTCAAACTTCCCTGGGAGGGTGGAAGAAATCATTTCTCTAGTGCTTGATGCTCACCAGTTATTAACTCCATGTATACACAAGGCGTGTGAGTTCATATTAAAATCTATTTAGGTGTTGTAATTGGAGAATGGTGATTTTTTTTTTTTTTTGCCTAAATAATTGCAATTGTACTTTGGAGCATAGGACATGATTACATACACTGTTCTTAAAATCATCACTGGAAAACTTGTTTTCAATCAATTGTGAATCATTTCTTTTTTAATGTTTTATTCCTCCAAATTCAAATTTTGGATCTTATATTTCCAGTTTTCAAAAAGACAAGGGGATAGGAGAGGAAGAAAAAAAAAAGGAGATTGATCAATGATATTCTTTCAAACGAACAGTTCGTTTGAATTGCAACACTGTGCCAACTATGCCCTTAAAATCACATTTCTTTACTCAAGAGTACGCTTCAATTGTGAAAATAGATCATTTTATTTTCTCTTTTGAGGTCAGCTAGTTACAGATGGAACAGCCCGTTGCTGTGTTTATGCTGAAATGGGTTTTTGAGCTGTGCAGGTGCATAGGTGGTAATACACTGCATGATTACATTTAATTTATATTTCAATTCTAACTCTCCTGAGCCCTTACCCTACTTTCTCATTTTCTTCTTTTGTGACAGTGGTGCATAGGACGATGACTATAGATTTTCATCTGTAACTCCTAAAAACTTACTCAGGTTGGTATGCTAAAGCAACCTTTAGCATTTTCTTCTTTTGTGACAGTGGTGCATAGGACGATGACTATAGATTTTCATCTGTAACTCCTAAAACCTTACTCAGGTTGGTATGCTAAAGCAACCTTTTTTTCTACAATGTTTTTCTTTTGGTTTTGTTTTACACATTTTGGTGATATTTTTTTTCCTTGCTCATCTTACTTTGTTCCAGAAACAAGGAATTATCTAAAATGTGGGCTGCCATTACACAAGCTTAACAACTAAAATGATTTAATTCATACAAATTAGATTACATCAAATCTTATTAACATCCATATCTCCAATTAATTACTGTGAAATTCCACGTGCCAAGAAAATTGTTTTATTTTCTCAAAATGGGTGAAAAATACTGTATTTGTCACAGTTGTAGATGAGAAAAAAGCTGAAATCTGAGCTTTGTAAAGGCTATCATCATTAACAAATGTAAAATTTTGGAAGATTTATTAGAGTTACTCTTACATGTCCACCTACCAAGGTTTTCTATCTTCTTGCATTTTAAGCAACAGGTGCATGTTTGAAACTATTTATTCTAAATGTTCAATTTAATTCTAACATAAAGATTCTTCTTCAAATGAAACAAATGCATTTTCCCTAAAAATGCAAGCATCCTTACTTATAATTAGGCAATACAACTATGAAGATTGAGGGATTAAAGAAATTATTATGAATTATGTAAAGAAAATGAAGAGCAACTTGAAAAAATTCAGGTGTTGTAATGCATAGAATGTCTATAAATGCCAAAATTTACTAAGCACCTTCTAAGACATAGGGTTCTGTGTTTATGTCATATCAATAGATATTTGCTGAGTTATTGCTTTGTTCCTGAAAATGTGCTAGCTGCTCTAATACATACGGCTTCTCCTTGCCTTTTTCCTTCTACAGGTTAATATCTCTTGAACCAGTTTTCTTCTCTCTGTTCCTCCTACTACTATCTTATTCAGATCTCCATCCATAATCTCTCACTTCTATAACCTTAGGCCTTCAGGATGATCTACCTGTAATCCATATCTCATTGTGTCTATCTTTAGTGCAGACCTGCTCATGTCATTCTCCTGTATGAATTGCCCAGTGTCACGCTATTTTCTTTAGTTTAGCATCCAGATTTATCATGATGATGTGGTATGCATGTCTTGAGTCTGTTGCTCTTTGTCCTTTGCAGCTCCTTTTGCCTACATAGTGCACCTACGCATATTTGTTTCAGAAGAAATTACCTCTCCCATTTCATAGTGTTCTGTTAGGACTGTCAACAACAGTGTTGCTCTAGAGAATGAGGACATGAACCAAATGAGATCAATCGATCTTTTCCAAGAATTGAATACATAGTAGAGTGCCAAAAAGGACCAAAGTTGGTCAGAACTGAGTCAATGCAATGCAATGACTGTGCCCTAACGAAGATATCATGAATCTCTGCTACTGAGATCTCTGGGAACCGCTTTGTTTCTACATTTCTTGTGATCTGACTACACAGCTTCTATCTCAATTATGTGGTTTAACCAGTGTATTAGTCTGTTCCTATGCTGCTAATAAAGACATACCCAAGACTGGGTAATTTATAAAGAAAGGAAATTTAATTGACTCACAGTTCCACATAGCTAAGGAGGCCTCACAATCATGGCAGAGGTTGAAGGGGAAGCAAGACAAGTCTAATATGGTGGCAGGCAAGAGGACCTGTGCAGGAGAACTCCCCTTTATAAAACCATCAGATCACATGAGACTTATTAACAATCATGAGAACAGCATGGGAAAGACCCACCCCATGACTCAATTACCTCCCACTGGGTCCCTCCCACAACACGTAGGAATTATGGGAGCTACAATTCAAGATGAGATATGGATGGAGACACTGCCAAACCATATCAGTCCACCCCTGGACCTTCTCAACTCTCGTGTTCTCACATTTAAAAACTAATTATGTCTTCCCAACAGTCCCCCAAAGTCTTAACTCATTTCAACATTAACTCAAGAGTCCACAGTACAAAGTCTCATCTGAGACAAGGCAAGTCCCTTCCGCCTATGAGCCTGTAAAATCAGAAGGAAGTTAGTTATTTCCTAGCTACAATTCGTGTACTGGTATTGGGTAAATATACCCATTCCAAATGAGAGAAATTAGCCAAAACAAAAGGGTACAGGCCCCATGCAAGTCTGAAATCCAGCAGGTCAGTCAAATCTTAAAGCTCCAAAATGATCTCATTTGACTCCATATCTCACATCCAGGTCACACTGATGCAAGAGTCGGGTTCCCATAGTCTTGGACAGCTCCGCCCACGTGGATTTGCAGGATACAGCCTCCCTCTGGCTCCTTTCACAGGCTGGTATTGAGTGTCTGTGGCTTTTCCAGGTGCATGGTGCAAGCTGTCAGTGGATCAACCATTCTAGGGTCTGGAGGATGGTGGCCCTCTCTCACAGCTCCACTAGGGGGTGCCCCAGTAGGGACTCTGTGTGGCGACTCCAACTTGACATTTCCCTTCCACACTGCTCTAGCAGAGGTTTGCCATGAGGACCCCATCCCTGCAGCAAACTTCTACCTGGACATCCAGGCATTTCAGTACCTCCTCTGAAATCCAGGTGGAGGTTCCCAAACTTCAATTCTTGACCTCTGTGCACCTGCAGGCTCAACACCATGTAGAAGCTGCCAAGGATTGGGGCTTGCACCCTCTGGAGCCATGGCCTGAGCTGTACCTTGGCCCCTTTTAGCCACTGCTAGAGCAGCAGTGATGCAGAGCACCGAGTCACTAGACTGCACACAGCAAGGGGGGCCTGGGCCCAGCCCACAGCCCAACCATATCAGCCAGTTTAAATTATTTTTATTTCTAAAAAGTTATCCATAGTTGAATTTGTTTCCAAGAACATTTATTAATAGATCCGTCTATTGTTCTTCAACTTTATCTCTTACCATTTTTCACTTTGTACCTGAGACTTGCTGAATTCTCCCTCCTTCACTAATTTATCATCCTTTCATTTGGCTCTAGACGTTTGTTCCTCATGTCCCCTTATCATGGAACCCCATTGCTTTTATCTGTATTTCTCTAATTACTACACATCCTCTAGAACTCAAATTCATGTTTTCCAGGAAGACTTCCTTCATGCCTCAGACACTCCTACTCTGTGTTCCTATAACCCGTTAATTACATTTTATAGTTTTTGCCTATCTACTGTAAAAAAGGAACTTCAGTTGTAGAATCTGTGTCTATCATCTTCATGTTTTATTTATAGTGCCTAGATCACTGCCTCATCTATAAAAACAAATTAGCTAATATTTGTTGAATAACGAATGAATAAATGTAAGAAAAACTCGTTTAACTCTATAAGACATTATATAATCATGCTCCAAATTGATATAATCAAGGCCCAGGAAGCTGGTCCTCTGGTTACTAAACAAAATGAGAGGTATTAGTGTTAGGTTGGATAACTGGAAAGGCTGTAAGAAGTACATGGTGCTTGATTTTGTTGATGGCAGGCAGAATTCAAGGAGCTGTAAAAAAAATGAGCGTATTTTGGCCCCAACATAGCAAACTTTGTATTCAAAATGGTTCGTGTGAAATCTAGAGGTTTTTTTTTCTTTTTCAAGACATCACTATGCAGATGTCTTGACAAATAAGTTTTACTTCATCTGTCATTTCTGATTTCACTGAGATAATCGGGCCTCATCCAGTCTTGGCAAGAATGAGTGTGGTGATTGATTTGCAATGCCTGCCTGGGAAAAGAAGTGAGGAAGTGTGAATAACAATGTTAGGAATTTTTAATTCTATGATGGGATAATATATTAACTTCTAGTAGCTTTTTAAATTAAATTATTTCAGAAATTTCCCAAGAAGATATAGAAAAGTCCAGCTTGACTGATAAATCTATAGAAAACTAACATAAAATTATAAAAACATAAAATTTTTAGCATGCCTCAAACATATCTATTCACTTTACGGATGTGGAAGACAAGGGCTGGAGAGGGTAAAAGAGCGTGTCCAAGATTGCCACCAATCAATCAACAATAAAATTTACATTTTTTTTCCTATTTTCTATGCAAGAGCTTTCAGCTTACATAATCCAATTCAAACTTTCCTTTTAAATCAAACACTGAATTAATAAATTATTGATTATTTATGATGACTTGACTAATTTACTTCAGTCCTTCTCTTTTTAAATTTGTAAAGTATGGTTGATAATTGGATAACATAGTAACTATATACCTGACACATAGTAAGAAACTAGTAAGTGTTCTCTCATATTTCCATTGTGACATCTTAGTTCAAGCATAACGTTTAAGTGACTCAACTTTCACATTACTTGAAAGAATTTTGTGTCACTTTTGAAGCCTTGGTAAAACCAGCTATGTTTACAGGAGTAGGGCCACATGTTATAAAGGGCCACCCCTTTCATTGTGACTTCTCTAACAAAGCCTTTCCATTAATAAAATAATCAGTGGTAAGTGGGGATAGCAAATACAGAATCTGGGTTATAGGCCAGGCACTGATCTAATTGTTTTGTTAACATTACCTTATTTAATCACCATTGTAATTCCATGGGGAAAATGTCCCCATTTTATGGATAAGGAAGATGAGATTTGCACCAGTTAACTTACCTGAAGCTATGAAGGTAACAACCGTGTTTAAAAATGCAAAGCCTCCCTGTCTCCAAAGCCAATGCTTTTAATCATCATAAGAGACTCTATGAAGTCACTCGCCTTCCTTCTTTTTTTCTTGTGATTTTCATGCAGAAAGTAACAACCTCCACCAACACTACTTGAATCAGTACTGAACGAATGTCAGGTCCTTGGGAAATTCTCCAATCCTGTCTCCTGTCCTGGCCGGGTGTGCTCCTGGTGCACCATTCGACTAAGTCAATTTGAACTATTTGGGAGACCTTTGTACCTACGTTTCCTTCTGCTTGGAAGATCCTTTCTGTTTTGTCAGCTCTTACTTCCATGTTGTGGAAAACTGATCTGACCTCCTAGTCCTGAATCAGGTATTGCTCCTTAGCACCGCAAACCCTTTGGCCTCAGGTGTTACTCATTCCACTGCATTGGGGTGAGACCTTTTGTATTTACCTTCAACACATTACATATGATGTGGTATTAAAACTATTGGTTAACTTCTCTCTTTCTTCACAGACGATGAGATGAGTCCAGGAACTCAATGTTACTCATCCTTCTAGTACTTGTGTCAAGCACAGCAAATATAACCAAATAGATGATTCAAAAATATCAAATGATTGAATAATTAATGATATAATTATTGAATAATTCTATGTGCAAGATATTTTGTTTAATTTTTCCATGCATTACCTCATTCAATTTACCCAATCTGTCTAGAAACTAAATAATAATATTCCTACTCTAAATAGTAGGAAAATAAGTCATAGACAGGATATAGGATTTAATGTTGTTCACACCGAGCGTTAATGTCAGTGGACATTTCAAATTTGTCTCTTTAAAGTAGAATTCATACTCCTAAGCACTGCACTTTAGTAGATGTTTTTGTGAATGGGAATAATGCGTACATTAAGACATGTTATTTTAGAACATGGTCTTAGCTTCCACAGCTGCTCTCCTGTTGGAAACAAAATGGCTTAAACAGACCATTTCCTCATTGTTCTCACAATGTGCCCCAGTAGATTCTAAACTGTCACCTTTGTCTTTTTGTTCTCCATCCCAGGATACTCACTACTTCTGGACTTTATATTCAAACTTTACCTGTCCATTTGGAGTACACGGAGGAGCATTTTTTCTTGATTTTCAAGCTCATGAGGGTGCATTCACCTCTGAACCCACCAGTGCATTCTGTCCCTTCCATTCACCCACTTTCTTGTGGATTTAGTAAAATTTTTATTGCTATTAAGAGTACAGTCCTTGGAGTGAATCAAAGCTAGGTTTGTAAGTGACTCAACACCATATTAACTTTGCCTCTAACGTGATATTGATTTTATGTTTGACACATGTCTCTCTGGTGAACCACTTGACCAGTGAGAGTCTTGAGAGCCAGTGATGGGTGTGAGAAGGGGCAGATAGGACCTGAGACTTTGGGTACCAGGCAAGGCAAATGAGGGCCTGGTTGCCAGTGAAGAGAATAAGGGGAATAAAGAAAGATAAACCTTCAATTTAATGGAGGCACTAAGAATTAGAAATCAACCTCAAATGGGAATTCTAGAGTTTGCAAAAGACATTGGGGTGACGGAAGTATACCCCTAAGGCAGACATTCAGAGGGAGCCGAGTTTTAGTCCAGGGACCTGACCTAGTTCATGCAGGGAACAATCATCTGAAGTACAATAAGAGGTTAAAATCATACATTCTATTTGAAGTGCCTTTAGAAATCTTTAGACTTGTGGCTATTTCTGCCCTTTTCTGGGTCTGATAAACAGGTTCTTCTTGTGTTGTTGTTGGTGTTTTGTTTTGCTTTCCCTTAGGTTTGTAATTTCTTTGTATTCTCATAGATGAACAGAGGATATTTGGCCCCTCCTTAAAAGTAGGTCTCCTTTGCCCCCAAGGATTTTGTATTGAGTGAAGAAGAGCCAAAAGGGACAGTTGGGAAGGGAATATTCACTATTTTTTTCTGCATTATTCTAAGGGGCCCGAAATCCATGCCACCTGGATCATTTAGCAGTCCTGATTAAAGAGCACAGGGCCTGGCAGTCTGTGGAAGTTTGCTCCCTGGTGCTGCCTGGACTGCCTTGGGCTTCTAGCAGCCTTATGGTCTCCAGACAATCTGTCATTTCTGCTATGTCCCAATAACCTTTGGCAACAACAAAAGCAAACAGGTACCTAAAGGCTGAGGGATTCCAAGTTAGAGAAATTGTCCTTTATTTAAAAAAATTGTGTCATCCGTACCATAAGAAGTTATTGAGAAGTTTCATTTAGAATCAAGATCACCTATGGGCTTGTAATTTTTCTGCATCAAAGAATGTGTGGTTGCTGTTTTTGCTATGCTTTTTACTCTGTCTTCACCAGGATCTGAGTGTAGAAGGCAATATTTAAATATTTGTGGGGATAACTGCATAATTACGTGTAAGTATATGCTTCTTTCTCTCTCCCTCTCGCTGTATGTATTGAGAGAGAGAGAGAGAGAGAGACAAATACACAAATACACACATACATACATACTTTCATAAATGTGTAGTTATTTCCTCAAGTATAAGAAAGATAAATAGTCAAATATCCAGATATATGAAGAAGGCACTAGGTAATAAATCCTAACTGTTTAGTTTCCATTGAGATCTGCATAATGTTACAGACTTAGGGGCTCCAAATGCCTGCAAGGTTCAGAAAGATTGTATCAATAAATGAAGCCAGACCTGGCTGCTGGGTTTTGGGGCCCAACAAGGGTGTTGGGGCCCATCAGGGGTGTTGGGAAAGAAACAAGAAGAGCAGAGACATTCATGCCCAATCTGGAAGGGGAAGTAGCCACTATTTTCTTGCAGAATGCAGGTCTAATGTTGCCAGCTTTTCTTTTGATTCCAAAGAAGCCCACAAACCGGTGTGTATACAATTTCTCCTGAGTTAGAAATAATGATTCTATTTTGTTTTTAACAAAAACACACCAGAAGGCTGAAGCTTGCCGATGGGTCTTATTATAGCCTGTGCCTTCATGGCCGAATTGTTTAAGTGACTCTAACTCTTTTCCATTTCTCTTCTACAGTAAGAATCTCTAAAATTTTAAAACTAATTATTTTTAATATGCCTTCAGTTATTACTTTAGTATAGAGATAGATTAAAACAAGCATAATATTAAAAGATATGAGTGTTATACATTTTCTCTCAATTCAGGGTCAATACACGTAGAAAATATATTTTAGAGTGATAATTACTCTCTGTGATGGAAGAATAATATTTTTTATTCATTGTCTCTTTAAAGTGTATATAATAGAGTGTTTATGTATTCATCAACTGTGAATCTGGGTTTTCTCTCTTAAAATTCCAAAACCTATTTACTGAGGTTTAACTATCTTCTTCATCTGTTATAAACAAAATTTTCCCTTTTTGGGGGGTTCAGCTAAAGCTACTTGGTAGAAAAAACTGGTATGCCAACTTCTGAAATTCCCCTTACAAAGCTCATTTCATTTTTATGCAATCTCTCTTTTAGGGTATTGAAATTTATAGTTTTCAGCCTATCTTGGGGAGTGGGAGAATCCTGATACTATTTATTTAAACTTAAAAAAATATGGTTCTCTAATTTTCCAAGCCCAACATCAGCTTAATCTATTTCTCATTCAATTGGCCCTTTCTAATTTTCCGGTTGTAGTTTTTCTTTATATATCCATTACAAGTTTACAACAAATTCCAAATTTGTACTTGCAATTTTCTACATTACCATTTCCCCCCAGGCATTAGTCAATCAATAGGAAACAAATAAAACTCACACGTGAATACATACCCAAAGAGAAGATATACTGTTTTGGTTCCTGGAAATGAGATTTCACTTGGTTGACTCACTAAGCTCATGGTTGGGTTTTCCAACTTCTCCTACCATTTAGAGAAATAGGTTTTATTTTCCTTCTTCTAAAAACCACCTGGGATGTACAAATATTTTTGTTCCTACAAAGCAATTCTTATCTATTTTAAAATCAACTCTATCTCTCTGGCTCTCTTTTGAAACAGTTATGATGTTACAGTTATTGGCAGAGTTGAAAAAACATGAATTTTTAATTCATGTTAAAAAAGCAGCAGAGCACTGGGGCCACTGGCATTTGATTAAGTATAAGGGCTTCTAATAAAACTTAGCATTAAATCCAGTCTTTCAACTATGGTCTAAAACCCCCTCCAGGATATCCCCTGCATATCTATCCAGCATCTCCTCCAATTCTCTATCTCAGCCACAACACTTGAGCTATGTGTACTTTATTTCTCTTCTAGAATTTTAACAAATGTATCCCAGCCACAGGTCCTTTGCTCTTACTTTTCTCTCTGGCTCATGTATATTGTCAGTTGCTGGCTTTCATATCTTAGAACTTGTGTTGATTTCCCACGGAGATCATCCTTGACCACCATAGGTGCTATTTATAAATAGGTTTATATTATTAGTTGTACTTATCTTAATGATTTAATTACATTTCTATCATTCGTCTAAACCACTGGAATGTAAAGTCTATGAGATCAGGAACCTGTATTGTCTTGTTCACTTTGGCATTTCCAGTGCTTAAGACAGTGTCTGGCACTTAGAGAAAAATATTCCCTTTCTCTCTCTCATGTAAGAAACATGACGACTGATAAAATAATTCTACCTGAGTTTCTTTTATAAAAAATTCCTAACAAGCATAAATAATTCTAAATTCATGAAGTTGTAAGAGTTAGTGAGGTCATGCGTGTGAAGCACTTACCAGAGTGTCTGGCAGTGCATTAGGTGAATAAGTAATAGCTGCCGTAGTTATTATCAACATGTTGCCAAAGATATGAATGAAAGACCTCCAGAAAATTTCTGGTCAATGTCTTTAAAACCTATAGGAACATGTAACAAATTCTAAGTAAGAAAACAGAGTTTCTCATTCTTAGATTTTGGAGATAGTATTCAGCATTTTTCTTTTTCATCTTTTTTTTTTTTAGTCTTTTTAGAATTTTATTTTAGATTCAGCTAGGTAAATGTGCTTGTCTGTTGCATGGGCATTACATGTGTAATTGTGGGAGTTGGGCTTCTAGTATATCCATCACTCAAATACTAGATATTGTACCCAGTGCATAATTTTTCAGCTCTTACACCCTTTCCACCCTTCCCCCTCTGGAGTCCCCATAGTCTATTTTTGTACTGGGCATGTCTCTAACGCAGCATATAATCAAAGTAACTGTTATCTGTCACCTTATACCACTAGTTCTCAAATATTTTAGTTTCATGACTCTTTTGCCATATAATAAATTATTGAGGACCCCAAAGACTTTTGTATATTTTTTGTACCTATCAGTATTTGCTGTTTTAAAATTTGAAAGATAATTTTGGGAGGCCAAGGTGGACGGATCACCTGAGGTCAGGAATTGGAGATTAGCCTGGCCAACATGGTGAAACCCCATCACTACTAAAAATACAAAAAGTAGCCAGGTGTGGTGGCACATGCCTGTAATCCCAGCTACTTGGGAGACTGAGGCAGGAGAATCGCTTGAACTCAGGCAGCGGAGGTTGCAGTGAGCCAAGATATCACAACACTGCACTCCATCCAGCCTGGGTAACAAAGTGAAACTCCGTCACCACACACACACACACACACACACACACACACACACACACACACACACACAAATTAAAAGGTAAACATGCATGTTATTTAAACATAAAATAATTAAACTGATTAAATACCAAAAATAATTTCAATGAAAATTATTTTTACAAAAAAAGAGTGATACTGATTTATATTTTTGCAAACTTCCTTAATGTCCAGCTTAATAGAAGACAGCTAGATTCTTATATCTAATTCTTATTCATTCTGCTGCAATACATTGTTTTGGTTTGAATATATGAATAAAAGCTGGTCTCAAATAAATATGTAGTTGAAAGCGGAGAAATATTTAAATATTCTTTTAAGATAATCGTGAATATTATCTGATATTACACAAAAATTTGACAAATGATTGTTTTTTAAAGGGTAGTGTTAATATAGAAGCTGAAATTGTATTTATAAAATTTTCTTACTGTGTTACAACAAAATCCAATAGTCCATCTGGGACATGAATGGATATTCTACCCATACGTGTTTAAAAAAAATTATTCACTAGTCATTTAGAAAATGTTGTTTCAATCACTGAGTTATATAAATCTTTACTTGAAAGCTCAAATCCTATTACTGGCAAAAAATACTATTCATTGTTTTCTTCAAAGTGATAAGATGACTTCATTCATTTTGAGAAAATGTCTGGCCAATACCCAAATTTGATAGTGCCAATGGTTTTTTACGTACAGATGGTATTCTGTGAAACAAGGCCCCAGATAAGAATTCATGCAATTATTTAAGAACTTCTCCTTAAAATAACATAATCATTCAGCTTTCAGCAAAAGTGTTTTATAAATACTTTCCATTTCATCACACAGAATACCAAGGAGTTGTGGATTTAATGGTTGAGATATAATAAAATCAATAGTTTTACTTCTTTACTGCGTATACTTTTAAGTAAAACCGACTTTTTTTGTTTTTGTTTTCCTGTGATGGCTGGATGGTAAACAACATAATGACTACTGTAATTTTGGGTTTGAGTGTCTTGATCTATTCTAACGTTCAAGACATTTTACCCACAATGCTATTGTCCCATCAGTGCAAATGTCAGTTGAGTGAAACAAAACAAAAGGTCTTAGTATCATTAGAAAAAAATAGACTTGACCATGTGGATCCCCTATAAAGATCACAAGGATACAAGAGGTCTACGTAGCACATTATATTATTGCCAAACATTTGAACACATATCCAGACAGACAGCTTAATCCTCAATTCATTTTTACTCATTCAAACGAAGCTCAATTTTCCATTGGAATACATAAAATTATAATATGAAAGAAACAAGAATAATCATATCTGAATTCAGCTTACCTTCCAAATAAAATGTCACTTTATTAACTCAGTTGGGCCATATTGAAGAAAGTGAACAAGCAGTTCTTCAACACTATCTACCATATTAACTACCTAAAATTTTGAGGTAATAAAGTATCTTGATTCTGGAATGCTGGATGTAAATGTTTAATATTTTATGGATAAACCTACATTTATGGCTATACTAAGAGGCAGTCATGCCACCCATCTCTATAAAAGGGAACATTATCTTTTACATAATTCACATGAAAAACAGTGTTCTTGAAACAATTTTTAATCATGTTATGAAACTTCGTAAAAATTTCTTGTCTCAATTTCTCAACTTACAATCAAACTAGTGAAACAAGACCCTTCAGGTAAAGGTAAATGTGAGTCAAGATTGAGTCACTGAATTTGTACAAGTTAAAAAAGAAATCTAGGTCACTTGCTCATTGCAAAAATGAATGTAAGTTTCAAATAAATTCTATTTTATGTCAAAATAAATATTCACCTATATATAAAAAACATTTAAAAATGTTTGAGGTGTATATTCATTGGAGAAAATAGCTTGCCAAAAAAAAGAGTGCTTGAATTGTGAGAGTCTGAACTATTTAGACAATAAACTGTCTCCTGAATATTGCTATGCAGATAGCAATGCTAGGTGGCATCCTCTCTATTGTCTGATTGGAGTGGAAAAACCTGCTTCTTTATGATTTTTTTTGCAGGAGTCATTTACATTTAATACTTATTATCTCTGTATTTTCAGCTGTAAACACACCCTGCCCTAATCAAACAAAAGCAAATAATCTTCAATGAGTAACTCTAACTTAATGTAAAATCATGAGGGAGCCTTGAAGTCTAAAGAATGAGAGACACCTGGAATAGGTTAGGCATAAGAAAACGGAGTTAAAAGCATTCATCTGTTAGGCAGGTTGCCTTTCTGCCTGATTGCCCCAATAATCTGCTTCTGGACATCTTTTAGAAAGCTGTTGGCTTTAACAAAAAACTTCTACGTCAAAATGGCTTAAATAATAAGGGCATATGTTATCTTACCTAACAAGAAACCTAGGAGTAGTAGAGCCATGCATTTGGTTAATTCAGCAGATCATCTATGTTAAAGTCTTCATTCAGGTTCTTTCCATCACCCCTTTCTACATTTGCATTGTCAATTTTCTCCTGAGGTGAGTTTCTTATCAGGGTCCCAAGATAGCTGCTGCAATTCAAGGAAACGCAGTCTTACACAACCACATCCAGGGAGAAAAGAGCCTGCCTTTTCCTCTGTGCCTCTTCAAGGGAATAAGAAATCTTTTCCATAGCCCAATAGGAAACTTCACCTTCACCTCATGTTCAAAGTTATGTCACAAGCTCATGCCTAATGACTCACTGGCAAAGATAACGGGAGAAGAAAATAAGGTAGGTAAAAGTTACGTCAGACTTAACTGTTTGCACACTCCGTTTCAAATAATCACCAGAAACCATCCCTTTACCCAAAAGAAAAAAAAAGGGCATTTGTTCTGTTTTAGCTGCATTAAAGTATAATTGATATACAAATATTGTACACATTTGGCCAGGCCTGGTGGCTCAGGCCTGTAATCCTAGCACTTTAGGAGGCCAAGGCAGGCATATCGTTTGAGGTCAGGAGTTCGAGACCAGCCTGGCCAACATGGCGAAACCTCGTCTGTACTAAAAATACAAAAATTAGCTGGATGTGGTGGCATGTGCCTGCAATCCCAGCTACTTGGGAGGTGGGGGCAGGATAATCCCTTGAACCCGGGAAGCGGAGGTTGCAGTGAGCCAAGATCACGCCATTGCACTCCAGCCTTGGGGACAAGAGCAAAACTCCATCTCAAAAAAAAAAAAAAAAAATTTGTACACATTTAACATACACATCTTGATGAATTACTTCATATGCATATACCAGTGATAGCATCACCACAACCAAGATACTAAATATATTCATCACCCCCAAAATATTTCCATGTTTCATTTTTGTAAGAACACTTCACATGAGATCTATCCTTTTAAGATATATTACAGTGTACAATATTGTGTTGTTATCTATAGGTACTATGTTATACAGTAGGTCTCTAGAACGAACGCATTTTGCAAAACAGAAGCTTTTTACCCACTGAGGAGCAGTTCTCCATTTCCATAAACCTTCACCCCAAGTCTCGGGCAACCATCATTCTATTCTTTGCTTCTATGAGTTTGACTGTGTTCAATACCACACATAAGTGGAATAAGGAAGAGAAATTTATTTCTTTTAATTTAGTCTGTCCATCCTACCACCTGCTCTAGTACATTGACCTTACATGAGGAAAATAGCCTAACCGTGTCTATGGATGAGTGTAATATTTATATTCTAACAAGTGTAGTTTAAGTGTATTTTGGTTAAATGTTAAGGTTATTGTTAGAATTGCAACTTTTACTTTTGTCAGAGTGTATAAAAGAATTATAAACGTCTGTACACTTGAAAAGCCTGTGTGGTTTAAATAAATAATCTCATAATAGCCTGGCGGGCATTTGAGGACTAGGGCTTTCGAGTAGAAACCCTTCTAAAAGCTTTCAATGGGTAGAGGTAGGAATTTAGTAATAGCTGAATGCCACCTGTTAGAATATATTACTTATTGAGACAACATATGTTTTAAGCCAACAAAATAACAGTTCATGATCATTAAATCTAAGTTGGGTTACTCTTTGTGTGGGAAGTATAATTATATGAAATTTATTGATGTTCATACAATAGAATGATCATCTCAAGCTTCTTCTTCTCCCTAATCCAACACCTACCTACAAAAAACCCTTCACTTGTCTTGGTAACATTGATAGTAATGCATTATTTAGATATAAAAATGTGAATAAGGAATCTTGGAAATAGCATTGGCTAGGGAATTGAGATCACATTTCAGATATCACCTTTGCCATAGACTGTGCAAATTGGGTAATTCACTTCTCTGTGATGTAGTGACCTCATCTATGATGTGAAGTTACTTCCCTGGATGTACTTTTCAAGTTCCATAACCTGAATTTTCATTCAGAAAATAAGTGATTCTGATTCCTAGTATTTAAATGTTTACAAATGATCCATTTGGGTTCTAAACCTTCATCTTTTTTCCTTTCAAGTGAACAGTACTTTTGTGTTTTGGTATTTTTATTCAACACCACTTATGACCTAGTATTTTAGTAGATGCAGGCTTTTTGGATGAAGATTAAATTATGAAGATGAGTAGGATGATGACGATGCTAGTTTGGTCCAAAGATTATATTTTATCCCAGTGAGACAGAGTTTTATAAAGAAAATAGTGCTTTTATTTCTGCTGCATTCTTGTTAAATGTTTAAATTCATGATAAATAATGCTTGCTTATGTTTTCAAACTTGTGAGAATTAATTATTTGGTTCCAAATGTGGAAGAGCTGTTGAATACCATTAAATAGATTATTAAACCATTATGTAGTACAGTGGGAAAATCTTAGAAATGTACCATGTTTTATAGTCACAGACTTTAGTACTTCAAGACTCAGAGCCTGTTGTTTAATAAATAAGATAATTAGTAGATTTCTTAAATTCAAAGTTGTTTTATATTTATTTATTTATTTATTTATTTATTTATTTATTTTGAGATGGAGTCTCCCTCTGTTGCCCAGGCTGGAGTGCAGTGGCAGGATCTTGGCTCACTGCAATCTCCTCCACTCAGGTTCAAGCGATTCTCATGCCTCAGCCTTCCAAGTAGCTGGGATTACAGGTGCCTGCCACCACACCTGGCTAATTTTTGTATTTTAGTAGAGGCGGGGTTTCACCATGTTGGCAAGGCTGGTCTCGAACTCCTGACCTCAGGTGATCCACCCACCTCTGCCTCCCAAAGTGCTGGGATTACAGGCATGAGCCACAATGCCAGACCCAAAGTTTTAACTCTTAATTGCTTATTATAGGAAACTTCCTTGATACAGACATTTAACATAAATATCTGTTGCTATTTAGTTCACTGCCACATTAGAGGAAGCTTAATGACAGATCTATTTCAAAAATTGTTGCTTAGAACACCTCTTCTTCTAGGGCTAGGAAAATCCATATATGTGCCTATATTTGTTTCTTAGGACTCTTGTATCAAATTATCACAACTTCCTGGCTTAAAACAACAGAAATTTATTTTCTCAATTTTCCGGGAGCCAACGGTCAAAAGTTAAGGTGTTGGTCAAAAGTTAAGTCTCCCTCTGAAGGCTTAAAAGTTAAGCCTCCCTCAGTTAAGCCTCCCTCCGAAGGCTCCATGGGGAGGGTCTTTGCTTGTCTCTTCCATCTTCTAGTGGCATCAGGAATCTCCTGTGGCTGCATCACTCCGCTCTTCAGGGCTTTCTCCTCTGTGTGTGTTGTCTCTGGTCTGTGTTATCTCTCTCTTCCTTCTTATAATGACTTTTAAGGGTTTGGCATTTAATTTAGGGCCAGATAATTCAGGATGATCTCATCTCAAAATCCTTAATTACATCTGCAAACATCCTTTTTCCAAATAAGGTCACATTCACAGGTTACGAGGTTAGAACATGGACATATATTTTGAAGAGCTACCATTCAGCCCCCTATAGTTCTGCTCATATGTGTCCCAAAGAACCTTTGGCCTATTATGCTACCTGTGTTTTCTTAAAGGGAGAGGTATTCTGAGAGAGAGAATATATACAAATTATAATCATATTTGTATTCCTAGTGTCTAGAACATTTCCTGACACATAAGCAATTCATAACATGTATCTACTCAATGAATTAATTTCTTGTAGTACCCATAGCCTGAAAGTTACATCTTGGGTTAAATCTCTCCCTCTCTCTCTCTCTCTCTTTCTCTCTCTCTCCCCCCAACCGCCGATTCTCTCTCTGTCTGTAAACTGTAATAGTTAAGGGTTAAGACAACACAGTAACAGGTTTAATGTAAAGGAACCAATTCATATTTTTATTTGTTGTTAGAATTTGAGAAATGTGTATTAGTGTATTATAATCCTGACTCTACCTTTAGCTGGGGGCTTATCCATTGTGGCTTCTTATTTTATTTATAAAATAAAAGAATTAATCTAGATAACTTTTTCAATCCACTTAAACTCATAAAAAATGACCTAGTTTCAATCCTAAGTTTCTAAGCCTGGTTTGGCACTTTTTATCTATATAACAACGGGCAAGTTTTATAACCTTTTTAAGTCTCAGTTTTCTCATCCATAAAATGGAGATTGTCATCCCTATGAAGTAGGGATGTAAGAATTAAATAATGTGTGTATATATATATATATATATATATGGCGTAATCCCTGACACTAAAAATCAACACATTATCGTGAGCTTCTAATAATGATTGTTATCACTGTCATACAATAGCTTATTTTCTGATAGAAAGTTATATTTAGGATACATGGAGTTCAGAGATATAATTGTACATCAATATTTAACTTCTTTCTGGTCACTAGCTAAAATTTGTTAAGGGGATAAAGTCCCCTTTTTTGGACCACATATCAAAAGTTTATTTGAATTAATTTTGAAATGTTTAATTGACAAAATATTGTATAGATTTAAGGTATGCAATGTGATGATTTAATATACTTTGTGTAATGATGCATATCAAATTAATTACATCACTACCTATGCTGTTTGTTAGATCCCCTGAACTTGTTCATCTTATGCTTAAAGATTGTACCTTTTGACCAACATCTGCCCATTTTCCTCACCCCCATCTTACCTTTATATAGTGCCTTCTTCAAGAAAATAGTTTTTGAATCAAAGTACGTTCCTGATTCTTTAATAAGTATTACATAAGGTTTGATAAAAGAAAAACTTCAGCTGAATTAAATTTAAAGGTGTTTAATTGAGGAATGAACGATTTGTGAATTGAGCAGCCCCCAGAATCACAGCAGATTCACAGAGATTCCAGCACAGCCACGTGGTGGAAGAAGATTTATAGACAAAGGGAAATGAAGTACAGAAATCAACAGTGATGTACAGAAATAGGTGGATTGGTTACAGGTTGGCATTTGCCTTATTTGAACACAGTTTGAACACCTAACAGTCTATGAATGGTTGAAGTATGGCCATTGGGATTGCCCAAAACTCAGCTATTGTTACAGATACCTATTCCTAAATTAGGTTTTCAATTTTGTCTATTAAGCTAGGTTACAGTTCATCCACAAGGACCCAAATATAGATGAACGGAATCCTTCTCAGGCCATATTTAGCTTGCTTTAACAGTTTGAATTGGAGAACAGTTTTAGTATATTATGTTTTGTCATTTCTATTTTTGCAGGGGCCATAAAGAAAATTGATGAGGACAACTGGCCTCCCAGTATGTGGATTCAGTTTCCATATGTCAATTTACCAACTCCCACTGGTAGTCTGAAGAGATATGGCTACTGGAGAACAGAAAATCACCAGTATTAATAAAAGCAATTTTAAGTGTTTACCTTTTAGTATTTGAATAGCTTTGTTAAAGAGACGTACTCAAGAATACTATGAAGAGACTCTTATTGTACTCCTTACCTGGAGATAATTGTGATGCCAGAAATTCAAATTTATATTCAACAATATGGTTTTTCAACCATCAATATTATAAACATCTAGGCAGTGTCTATTGTTTGCGCATTTGCCATCCTCTAAAATGAGATTATTCTAAGCATAAATTATACTTCATCATTCAAGATTATAAACATTTATAATAATCATAATATTCACAGACATTTCCCTGCTCTCAAATCACTAGAGCTAATAGGCAAAGTAGATACAGCTACAAACAGTGGGAGAAAATATTTCTGGCTGACCTACAAATAGCTGTGCAATAATGTAGAGAGGAAAATATAGTCTCACTTACAGTGTCTGAAATTGAGTTTCCCTCTTTAAAGGACAAAGTAATTTTCAAAAATATTTGAGTATTATTCTGTGTAAAAAATCTCTGTTTTAACTGGCTTATTGAATTGTATTTCTTTATTGTGTTTGTATTCACTTTTCCATTTGTGGGTGGAATTTATTATAATTACCAGTTTTATACTGAATGAAACAAAAATCTCATAGATTTAATAAAACTTTAAATTCCTTGTCATTAATAATAAAATGTATATGCTTTCTCTAATAAGTCCATACTTTATTGTTTAAAACCTGTTTTTCCTCTTTCTCAAGCACATGGATTGTTAATTTAAATTCTGAAATAAAGCCAATTAATCCATAAACATGGACTGTGGATAATGTCGATATTACATGTAAATTTCTCAGTGTGTGTTTCGTGGACCCAATAGCATCAGCATTAGCTGGGGACTTACGAGGTGGCCTGTGCCTGTAGTCCCAGCTACTCAGGAGGCTGAGGCAGGAGAATCGCTTGAACCTGGGAGGTGGAGGTTGGAGTGACCGAGATCGTGCCACTGCACTCCAGCCTGGGCAAAAGAGCAAGACTCTGTCTTAAAAATAATAATAAAAATCAAATAAAATAAAATTTGCAAATGTATCCCACCCCAGGCCTATTGAAACAAAAAGTCTGTTGGTACGGTTTAGCAATATGTCTTTCAACAAGCCCTTCTGGGCAACTCTAATGCATGCTGAAGTTTGAGAACCACTGGTCTGTGGCTTTCCAGGATACTCAGGTGCTGTATTATCTTATTGCCTACAGGGAATACCTTTGTTCAAGTGTGGAAGTATGCACACAGTGTGTAAGGAGGTGGGTTGAATCTTTCTACAAATGTTTTAAGTAAGTCACCTGCCTCATATATGTGGACTAGATTATTTAGATATTTGGATCCATACTGACCCTTAACCCTACTTCTGATTTACAGATAAGAATTCCCTACCCTATTTTATTATGTGTTATGTTTGGCCCATTGGTAATTTTTTTTCTCTCCTTAGACTCAATTTTAAATATTTGTTGCAATCTAAAAATGGAGGCCTTATCTTAATAGTTTATTTAATTTTGCAAGATATACTATAGGACAGGAAGTATGCCTGATTCTTTTACATAAATTTGATATCAGTGATGCTTCAAAACAGTTCTTCACGTTAACTATCATTATTTTTGTAGCTTTAATGCGTTAAAACTTACTCAGTATAAAAGCCACCTACTTAAAATGTACAACTCAAAAATTTCCAGTAAATTAATAAAGTTGTGAAGCCATGACCACAGTGCAATTTTAACACATTTCCATTGTGCCAAAAAGATCCCTCATGCTCAATTCCAACCAGTTCCCACTGCCACCCCCAGTATCAGACACGACAATCTGCTGTCTCTACATTTCAGGACATTTAGTGTAAATACAATTATACAATATGTGGTCTTTGTGTCTGGCTTCTTTCACTTATTATGTTTTTGAAGTTTATCCATGTAGCTTGTATCAAGCTTTTGTTCCTTCTTTTTTGTTGAATAACATTTTATTTATCCATTAATTAATGTACAGACATTTGGGATGTTTTCAGTTTTAGGTTCTTATGAATAATGTATCTATGAATATTTACATACAATTCTGTAAGAATACATAATTTTTAATTTGTTTGAATAGTAGAGCTGTTGAGATATATCATAAGTTTATGTCTAACTTCATAAGAAATTGCCAAACCATTTTCCAAGGTGGCTGTACATTCTCACCAGCAATGTATATATGTTTCAATTTCTCCACATTGTCTTCAACACTTTCTATAGTCTATCATTTGATTATAGCCATTCTATGGATATAAAGTTATCATGGTGGCTTTAATTTGCATTTTCCTAATGACTAATGGTAATGAACATTTCATAGGTTCATTAGTCATTTGCTTATACCTACTTAAATATTTAGCCTATTTTTACTCGGGAGGCGGAGCTTGCAGAGAGCGGAGATCGGGCCACTGCCTTCCAGCCTGGGCGACAGAGCCAGACTCTGTCTCAAAAACAAAAAACAAATAAATATTTAGCCTATTTTTAGAATGGGTTGTTGTTTTTCTCATTATATAGTTCTATAAGTTATTTATGCAGCTTGGATAAATGTTCATTATCAGATATAATTTTTACAAATATTTTCTATCAGATTGTGTTATTTTTAATTTTCTAATGTGGTCTTTAGAAGCACCAGAGTTCTTAATTTTGATAAAGTGTAATTTAACCATGACCATTCTTTTATAGATTTTGATTTTAGTGTGTCCAAAAACTGTTGGCTAACCCCAAATCATGAAGATTTCCCTTCCTGTTTTCTTCTGGAAAGTTTATAGTTTGGGTGCTTATATTTGGATCTATGATTTAATTTGACTTATTTTTGTATATGCTGCCAGGTGACAGTCTATTTGCTTTCTGTGTGTCTAATTCTTTTGTAATCTTCTAGTCTTGTTTTATTATTTCTTGTGGGTTAAGTAGAATTTTTCTAGTGTACTATTTTTAATTCCTTTGATGTTTTCTTGTTTCATTGTTTTGAATAGTTTTGTGTTTAATATTTTAAGTTATATCCTTTTTAAAAGTTATTTTTAATAGAAATAAAATTGTATATACTTATCATGTACAGTATGTTGTTTTTTGAAAGATGTATATATTGTGGATATGTATACAATGGCTAAATCGAGCTAATTAACATAGGTGTTACCTCACATATCACTTTTTGTGGTAAGAATATTTAAAACTCCTCACTGCATTTTTTCAAGAATACAATACACTGTTATTAACTATTGTCACCACATTTTACAACAAATCTCTTCAATTGATTTTTTCTAACTGAAATTTTATATTCACTTGGCCAACATCTCCCCAACCACACCCACCTCCCCAGCTCCTGGTAATCATCATTCCCCCTCTCCTTCGATAAGTTCAGCTCTTGTAGGTTTCACATACAAGTGAGATCATGTGGTATTTGTCTTTCTGTGCCTGGCTTATTTCATGTAACACAATGTTCTCCAGGATCATTGATGTTTTCATAAATGAAAAAATTTCCTTTTAAGAAAAAGTAAAATACTATTCTAACATTGTATTTATGTCACATTTTCTTTATAAATTCACTTTTTGGTGTACACCTAGGTTGGTTAACATTATCTTTTAATAAAGGCTCTATTTCTTATCATCAACTGCATCTCCATCACCAAAGTGTCTGATAAGTGTCTAATCGTCCTTCAAATCCTAGCTTGAAGCATGGTAAGGCAGACTTTATTAAGCACTATCACAACAGTTGTAGGGACCACTGCCATGGGGTCTTGCAGTGGGAGTGAGAGGCTGGGCTCAACACTAAACATAGCATGGCTCAATGGGGGTTTGCAGCCAAGAAGCTGGATGGGGTCAGAGGATGGAAATTGCTAAAAGGAAGTATTGGGGGAAAGGGGAAGTCTTGCTAAGCCAGCTGGACTGGATTCAGGCCAGGGTGATCAGACCTGGGAGATGGTGGAGGTTTAGAAACCTGATAAGATAAGTCAAGGGTTGGAGTTCTTTACATTTACTTAGCAGTGTTCTTTGTTAATAAACTGATTTAGCAGTGTTCTTTGTTAAACCTAGTTCTTACAAGGAAGTGCACTGATGGGCCTAGAAGACGGCTCACTAACCTGATGACAATTTAGTCAAGCAAAGAATCTTTGTCAGCCCTCATCCTTGTTCAAGGAAAGAAGATACATTCTTGTTTCCTTCGAAAAATATGTCTATGTTCTTGTTGGGTTGTCTTTTGTTTATAAAGAACCAGTTGAGTCATCTGTTGGAACTTGGTAGTAGAGAATACTTTGATGGAAAAAAATAAAATTTAAATTTAAAAAATTGAAAAAAAATTAAAAATTTTTTGCTGAAGGAAACAGTACATCTCAGTGATAAATATCCCAAAGTATTACTGAGAATAAGACTGATTTTGTGGGAAAATTAAGCAATGTGTTCCAGTTTTTAAAACCTGGGTCTGAAATCTATGTTGAAAATTCTGTTTCTGGATCTAGTTTGAGGCACTAAGAAGGATAACATCAATTGTGCTAAAATTGAAGCAAGAACAAACATCAAATTTATGGTGAAGCTTGTGTGGAAGAATGGTGAAATCACTGATACATTACAGAAATTTTATGGGGACAATGTCCCAAAGAAATCAGTAGCACTTTACGAATGGATAACTATTTTTTATTATTATTATACTTTAAGTTCTAGGGTACATGTGCACAAGGCGCAGGTTTGTTACGTAGGTATACATGTGCCATTTTGGTTTTCTGCACCCATCAATTTCATTTACATTAGGTATTTCTCCTAATGCTATCCCTCCTCCAGCCCCCATCCCCCAACAGGCCACAGTGTGTGATGTTCCCCACCCTGTGCTCAAGTGTTCTCAATGTTTAGTTCCCACCTATGAGTGAGAACATGCAGTGTTTGGTTTTCTGTCCTTGTGATAGTTTGCTGAGAATGATGGTTTCCAGCTTCATCCGTGTCCCTGCAAAGGACATGAACTCATCCTATTTTATGGCTGCATATAATTCCATGGTGTATATGTGCCACATTTTCTTAATCCAGTAATTCATTGATGGACATTTGGGTGGGTTCCAAGTCTTTGCTATTGTGAATAGTGCTGCAGAAAACATACTTGTGCATGTGTCTTTATAGTAGCATGGTCCTTTGGGTATATATCCAGTAATGGGATCGCTGGGTCAAATGGTATTTATGGTTCTAGATCCCTGAGGAATCACCACACTGTCTTCCCCAATGGTTGAATTAATTTACACTCCCACCAACAGTGTAAAAACGTTCCTATTTCCCCACATCCTCTTCAGCATCATTTGTTTCCTGACTTTTTAATGATTGCCATTCTAACAAGCACGAGATGGTATTTCATTTTGATTTTGATTTGCATTTCTCTGATGACCCGTGATGGTGAGCATTTTTTCATGTGTCTGTTGGCTGCACAAATGCAGAAATAAAGATGTTCTTTGAAACCAGTGAGAACAAATACACAAAGTACCAGAATCTCTGGAACACATTTAAAGCAGTGCGTAGAGGGAAATTTATAGCACTAAATGCCCACAAGAGAAAGCAGGAAAGATCTAAAATCGACACCCTTACATCACAATTAAAAGAACTAGAGAAGCAAGAGCAAACACATTCAAAAGCTAGCAGAAGGCAAGAAATAAAAAAGATCAGAGCAGAACTGAAGGAGATAGAGACACACAAAAAAAACCCTTCAAAAAAATCAATGAATCCAGGAACTGGTTTTTTGAAAAGATCAACAAAATTGATAGACCACTAGCAAGACTAAAAAAGAAGAAAAGAGAGAAGAATCAAATAGATGCAATAAAAAATTTTAAAGGGAATATCACCACCATTCCCACAGAAATACAAACTACCTTCAGGGAATACTATAAACACCTCTACACAAATATAGTAGAAAATCTAGAAGAAATGGATACATTCCTGGACACATAAACCCTCCCAAGACTAAACCAGGAAGAAGTCGAATCTGTGAATAGACCAATAACCGGCTCTGAAATTGAGGCAATAATTAATATCCTACCAACCAAAAAAAGTCCAGGACCAGACAGATTCAGAGCCGAATTCGACCAGAGGTACAAAGAGGAGCTGGTACCATTCTTTCTGAAACTATTCCAATCAATAGAAAAAGAAGGAATCCTCCCTAACTCATTTTATGAGGCCAGCATCATCCTGATACCAAAGCCTGGCAGAGACACAACAGAAAAAGAAAATTTTAGACCAATATCCCTGATGAACATCGATGCAAAAATCCTCAATAAAATAGTGGCAAACCGAATCCAGCAGCACATCAAAAAACTTATCCACCACGATCAAGTCGGGTTCATCCCTGGAATGCAAGGCTGCCTCAATATACACAAATCAATAAACGTAATCCATCACATAAACAGAACCAACGACAAAAGCCACATGATTATCTCAATAGATGCAGAAAAGACCTTCCACAAAATTCAACAGCCTTCATGCTAAAAACTCTCAATAAACTAGGTATCGATGGAATGTATCTCAAAATAATAAGAGATATTTATGACAAACCCACAGCCAATATCATACTGAATGGGCAAAAACTGGAAGCATTCCCTTTGAAAACCAGGACAAGACAAGAATGCTCTCTCTCACTACTCCTATTCAACATAGTGTTGGAAGTTCTGGCCAAGACAATCAGGCAAGAGAAAGAAATAAAGGGTATTCAATCAGGAAAAGAGCAAGTCAAATTGTCTCTGTTCGCAGATGACGTGATTGTATATTTAGACAACCCCATGGTCTCAGCCCAAAATCTCCTTAAGCTGATAAGCAACGTCAGCAAAGTCTCAGGATACAAAATCAATGTGCAAAAATCACAAGCATTCCTATACACCAATAACAGAAAGAGAACCCAATCATGAGTGAACTTCCATTCACAATTGCTACAAAGAGAATAAAACACCTAGGAATCCAACTTACAAGGGATGTGAAGGACTCTTCAAGGAGAACTACAAACCACTGCTCAACAAAATAAAAGAAGACACAAACAAATGAAAGAATATTCCATGCTCATAGATAGGAAGAATCAATATCGTGAAAATGGCCATACTGCCCAAGGTAATTTGTAGATTCAATGCCATCCCCATCAAGCTACCAGTGACTTTCTTCACCGAATTGGAAAAAACTATTTTAAAGTTCATATGGAACCAAAAAAGAGCCCGCATAGCCAAGACAATCCTAAGCAAAAAGAACAAAGCGGGAGGCATCATGCTACCTGACTTCAAACAATAGTATAAGGCTACAGTAACCAAAACAGTATGGTACTGGTACCAAAACAGATATATAGACTAATGGAACAGAACAGAGGCCTCAGAAATAACACCACACATCTACAACCATCTGATCTTTAACAAACCTGACAAAAACAAGCAATAGGGAAAGGATTCCTTATTTAATAAATGGTGCTGGGAAAACTAGCTAGCCATCTGTAGGAAACTGAAACTGGATCCCTTCCTTACACCTTATACAAAAATTAACTCAAGATGGATTAAAGACTTAACATAAGACCTAAAACCATAAAAAGTAAAAGAAAACCTAGGCAATACCATTCAGGACATAGGCATGGGCAAAGACTCCATGACTAAAACACCAAAAGCAATGGCAACAAAACCCAAAATAGATCAATGGGATCTAATTAAACTAAAGAGCTTCTGCGCAGCAAAAGAAGCTACCATCAGCATGAACAGGCAACCTACAGAATGGGAGAAAATTTTCACAATCTACCCATCTGACAAAGGGCTAATATCCAGAATCTACAAATAACTTAAATACATTTACAAGAAAAAAACAAACAAGCCCATCAAAAAGTGGGCAAAGGATATGAATAGACACTTCATAAATGGATACCTATTTTTAAGAAGGGCCAAGATAATGTTGAAGATGAAGCCCACAGCAGCAAACCATCTACATCAACTTGCAAATTTTAAATTTTTAATCTTGTTCATGCTGTAATTGAAGACAACTAATAGCAGAACACACAGCAAACACCATAGACATTTCAACTGGTTCAGCTTACACAATTTTACTGAAAATCAAAGTTGAGCAAAGTTTCCACTTAATAGGTGCCAAAACTATTAAGCGCAGATCAGTTGCAGACAAGAGCAAACCTTTCAGTGGAAATTTAAATAAATGTGACCAAGCCTGAAGCATTTCTTCTAAGAATTGTAACAGAAGATGGAATGGGCTCTACCAGCACAATCCTGAAAACAATGCTACCAAGATATCAAAGTGGTCCAATCAAAGCAAAAGCGGACTGGTCAAAGGCAAAGGTCATGACAACAGTTTTTTTGTGATACTAAAAACAATGTGCTTGTTGACTTTCTGGAAGGCCAAGGAATGATAACATCTGCTTATATGGGAGTATTTTGAAAAAGTTAGCCAAAGCTTTTGCAGAAAAATGCCCAAGAAACCTTCATCAGAGAGTCCTTCTCCACCCCAACAATGCTGCTTGGGCATCTCGTCAAACTAGGGCAATTTTGCAAGAGTTTTGACTGGAAATCATTACAGTCCTGATTTATCTCTTTCTGACATTTTTTGTTTTCTGATCTTAACAATTTTTAAAAGACACTCATTTTCTTCACTTAATGTAAAAAATACTTCATTTACATGGTTATATTCCCAGGACCCTCAGTTATTTAGGAATGGACTGAATGTCTGGTATCATTGCTTACAGAAGTGTCTTGAATTGATGGAGCTTGTATTGAAAAAATAAAGTTTATATTCCTAAAGCAAAACAAAAGCTAGCTTGGCTAACACTTTCATTTAAAGACTTCCCTCATACCACTCCCCAGGTAAGTCTCCTACACTTGCACATTTTTCAGTAATTATATGTAATATAGGTAGTATTGTAATTTTAGATTCTTTCTGAATCTCTATGAACTTATGAGCTTTCCAAGATTATATTGTCATCTTCTTCTCTGCAAGCTCAGTATCTATCCCAGTAGCTAAAGGGATCTTAGAGGTTTCAAATGTTTGGTTTGTGGTTTAATGGCTAACAACTCACAAAACTGGCATTAGATCAGAAGTCCACTCATTCATAGTCCAGGTCCAGGATGGTTTCAATTCCTCTTATACTTCAAGTTTCAACTTGAACATCATTAGTTTCTACAAATCCAATTTGCTAGCCTTATGAAAAGTGGCAAGGCACTTCTTTTACATACTGGTTAGCATCCTCTACTTTATCATAATACTTATTTTATTATCTTTGTCTGATTGTTTTCCTTCCCCAACATAACCATTATTTTTGTAAGGAAAATGGCGATATTTACATCTACATCCCCATCATCAAGTACAGTATTTAGTACAGGGAAAAGACTCAGCCAATGTTAGTAGAATTTAGTTTAATTAAATTAAATCAACATTTGAAGTTAAACTATTTTGCTGGATTGTGGGTATAATATAGTCAAGTTAGATGTTTATTATTGTTGGTCATAAGAGCTGGATAGATTTCAGAAAAATCCAACAGAAGGTTATAACTAACTGGTACAATGAATTTCAAACAGATGGTCAGCAATAATGCCAAGCCCTTTCTTATTGTGATTTCTTTGATAATTATGTGGTGAGCCTTGACATGAATTTGGTTTGATAGACAAAATATTCATCATTCACCGCATTCTTTTTTATGAGAACCCAGAAATCAACAAATATGATGGTTCAGCTAGTTTACATTGACAGTTTTATTTGAATAAATAATTTAGTTGGAAAATTTTTTTTTTTTTTTTTTTTTTTTTTTGAGATGGAGTCTCGCTCTGTCGCCAAGGCTGGAGTGCAATGGCGTGATCTCGGCTCACTGCAAACTCCGCCTCCCGAGTTCAGGCCATTCCCCTGCCTCAGCCTCCCGAGTAGCTGGGACTACAGGCACCCACCACCACACCCAGCTAATTTTTTGTATTTTTAGTAGAGACCTGGTTTCACCGTGTTAGCCAGGATGGTCTGGATCTCCTGACCTCATGATCTGCCCACCTCGGCCTCCCAAAGTGCTGGGATTACAGGCGTGAGCCACTGCACCCAGCCGTCGGAGGATTTTTAATTGTGAGTTTTTATAAAGTTGTGAGTCATTACTAGGGAATATGTAGGTTTTATTTGTTGAAGGTACAATTTACGTTGTTCTGGCAAGACCATCATCTAAAGCAGAAATTTTGTCTCATGTGGTCTGGTGTGTAGAATCCAATTATGGTTTTATGTCTATCATTGAAATGATTTTTCTATTGTCTTGCATGTGATTATAAATATTTTTTACCTTGATGTGACTGATTACAGAAACCTTAAGGAATTTAAGTTAAAATGAAAAGTATTAACAATGTAACAACTTTGGCTACATACTGAGAGTCACCAGGATAGCTTATAAAACTACAGTGCTCAGATGCAACCTCAAAACAATTAAGTCAGAGTCTCAGGATTGAATGAAAAATGAGTTTCCTATGCTATCAATACATATGAACAAATTCCATTATCATTTCAGCATTTTCACTCTCTTATGTTTATATTTCATAAACTTCAAAGTGCTACTAGTAATACCAGAAACCTGGTGTTTAATTCATTTTTATATCATAAATAATTTTTTAAAAATCATAGTTTAGGATCATACTATTGACATTTTTTAGTATCTTTCTAGTGGCCTAGATTCCTGCTAGCACTTGGTACTTTCAGGTGCTTCTAATGTAAAAATGCATTAAAACAGAGCAATGAAAAGTCCTTTCAAAACATGAAAAGAGAGTCAAGTATTCCATTTTATTATTGAATAATGTTAGCTTTATTATTCAGTAGAATACAGTATGACATAAAATTAAGAGCTTTTGCTAAACTCTGTAAAGCAACACATGCATCTGCCATAAACAACCTTGATTCATGTTAGGTTTTATTGCCACTTCACTGCACTAAAGTGCAATAAACATTCAGTGTCATCTTTTAAAAAAGTTTCCTGGGAGTGAACAGGAACTGTCCCCTATAAGAGTGTATCTTTATTTTCAAGGAAGACTTAACTAGTACTACATGGTTTAGCAAAGCACTGTAGAAAAGCTACATATAATAATTTGTTTTTGATAAACTTTGCAATCATTTATACAGTAGAATACTATCCACATATACTAACAAACTGAGAAATGATAGAAATGCAGTCATTGCGTAGCAGGAAGCAGACTAATAAGAAATATTCACATCTAAGGAGCAAAATACAGACCAAAAGTTAGCCATGAGAAGTCTGGAAGGTAAAATGCTCTCAATAAACACATTAGTATAACGCCGAAAAATAACAAGATAAACAGCAACACAGAAGTTAGAGCCATAATTTATTTTATTTTCTATACATAATATCTACACATGATATTGGTGGATGAAATGTCTTTGATTCAGCCTTCATTGGCCTAGCTTGTGAAATTTAGGCAGGACCAAATCAAACAATGAAGCACATTTAAAAAGAAAAGTGTGTTTAGGAAAACACAATGTATTTTCCTATATCATTGGATAGCAGCTTTTTGAGAAAAACATTGCTCAAGACTTGGGTTTGGATCCCAACTGTCTTATTTGGCAATAATGCTAACAGATTTATGCTGTAGTATTCTAAGTGTGTTTAGACCGTGACTTGTGGATTCTGAGCACTAAATTTAAATATCTGTTAAACTCTATCAGACAAAAGGAGACTTCAAAAATACCTTCTGCATAAATATTTATCTCTAAAACATCTGGGCAGTAATGAAACAGACTAGAATTTTTATAAGGAAGTATTAATGGACCTCTTTTATTTAAAGCCCTTACATAGTATACCTACAAATATATTGCTACAGTATAAATGAAATGTAATATTACTCAATAAAAGCTATTTTCTGTACATTCTTTTATGTATTTTATATTTAATGCTACATATGGTACAACACTTATTGAAATAGTTGGTATTAGCAAATATAGCAATAATATACAGTTCATTTTCTAGCTCCAACTAATGCTTCCCATTTTCTTTCTATATTATAATAGCCTAAAATAGGGAAATGTGTGGAATGACTTGAACAGAGAGCAACTGATCACTGTATACTAGACAACAGTTTGGAAATTATAAGTTTTGTCTACATAAGTGGACTTCACACCCATATGTTTTAAGTTCCATGTGGTTCATACTTGCTGTTCTGTTCTTAAATGCAGGTTCTAAATGTATTTCCATAGCATTTAACAACATTCCAACAGCTAAGTGCAGTGATTCTTACACAATATTTTAAGAACACAATTTTAAAAAAGTAAAAAATGTACAATCTCATGCTGTATATTTACATATATCGTTTATATATTCTATTTTTGTTTGCTAGTCATAAATTTCAATCTAAAGCTTTTAATGTAGTTATATAAAAGAATACATTCAACAATTCCAGAGCTTGCAAAATATTTTTGCCCCTCTAAAAACATCTTCATAATGAGAATTAAGTGAGTGTTGGGCTCATGTGCTATCTGAAAATAGGGTGAAAAAGGGAATATTTTTAAACTATTTTAGTTTAGTTTCTATGGAGTATACATGTCTGTTAAAATTATTCTTCCTTGAGTCTAGTGGTAAAAGCTCAGATGAAAGTGAAGTAAACTATTTAAAGCATTTATCTTCATTGGACTAAATGTGCTCTACAATGAGCAACTGCACCTTTACGTATGAAAGTTCCATGAATTTTAAAATAGCATTTTATGACAAAATAATGCATTAGGCCTTTTTTTTTTTCAAAGAGAAAGAATGGGGATCTTCAGCTTTGGAAACAAAATGTTAAAGCTATACATCAGTTTAAAAAGCAAAACAAAAACATAAGCACACCATAGTTTGTGTAATAAAGACGTAGATTTTTAAAATTTTTTCTTCATGAAACATTTATAATTTACCCTTTGAAACACCTTCACATAAAAATATTTTTGACATATACAGTATCTTTTTTAGAATATTTGGAAATATATATCTACAAATGACCTAGGGGTTTTAGTTAAGTGTTATTTTTTTTTCTACTTTTTCTTGTATCTTTGAACCATCTTCCCCCTCTTTTCTCTCTCATTCTGTCTCCTTCTGACATGACTTTGCTCTTTCGCTTGCTCTGTCAGAATCCTGTCTCCAAGCTGCATAGTCTGCTTTGCTCCAGACTGCCAGACAGGGGTCTCTTGTTCTTAAATGAATTATGAAAATAAGGAAACTTTCAAATTCTTTAAGACAGAGGCAATAAAGCAGATGGGAATTACTGCGTTGAGAACATAAATAAATTCCCAGTGCAGAGGACTGAACAACAGAATGTGAGTAAAAGATCTATTGATGTGGTGTGGGGGCTTTTAGCTGAGGCTCTCTGTTTAAATACGTAGCCCAGTAGACTAAGTTAAAGATTCCAAATAGCAGCGGGAAGGCTATTCTTGACAGTCGGTCAATTTTGCTGACACTGTTAAAGGTTTTCTTGGGTTCTGGTGGTTTTGTTTCGGGCTTGACCTCTTTAGGTTCTATGGTTGCACTTTTAGCAATGGTGGCTAAGCCCGGGTCGCCCCTGGCCAAATTAGGGGTGTAGCTGGTTGCTGTTGGAGCGTAAGTGTTGTTTTTCTTAATAAGAGGATCCTTTACTTTCTTTGGCTGTAGAAAGAAAGAGCAATGCATTTTGTTTAGTAAACAGTGAGAAGCAAAATTATAAGTTGCTGAGCAAGGTGGCCCTTATTTTGCAGCCTAAATCTGTGCCTTATTTAGGAATTTAAAAACATAATTTATGCCTGTCTTATTATAATAAATTAAAAATGCAGGCAGTATTTAATAGCCTTTTGCCATCAAGAAGTACAACACCTTAGATTTTATTAAATAAGGTAGATGTTACCACTACAGAGGATTTTCTTATCTAATGCATTTGTTTAACTATGGGATAAACACAGTTAAGCCAGTTTATTTACTACAGAATTTCTTAGCCCCTTTAATATGCTGTGACCAGGAAATACAGTATGCAGCAATATTCAAGTGGGCATCAACAAAGAACTAAATTTTCAGAGAGTATCTTAAGAAACTAATATTCTATAGAATAAAGTTTCAGAAAAGCTTATGTCAAGTGACTCCTTCTAGATTATTTCTAAACATCTTAAAATCTCTTTGTCTCTGTCTTTGCTCTTCATCACAGCATCCCAAAGCTTACTTGCATTTTGTCACGCTTGTTCTTCAAACCCCACAAACACAGCTATCCTCCCAAGCTGTGACATAAAATCCATACTGTGTAATAGGTTCTAATTGAGAGAAGCAGCAGTATTCTTAACTTGAACATTTTCTACCATGAGGCATTTCTTGGTAATTTCTGTGTGTTATGATCCCTAAAGCATATGTCTATTTTGGAAAGAGAAAATGTGCCTGCCCTTGACTTTGCAGAGAACTAGGGATGGTTCATGTGGCAAACTTAATTTAATTGAGGCATTATGGTTATACATTTATGACCAAATGATTAGGCTCAGAAAACAACCAAAAGAATATAACTTTCAAGTTATAAAATTATAACGCACTTGGTAAATAAAGGATTTGACTAAGTTTATTTGCTCCTAATATCAGGTTCATTAAAACTGTTCTCAAATCAATAGAAACCACAGGAAAGCCTATTTGACTAGAAATGTTTGCCTTCCTGACTCTCCTTTATCTCCTCCACTTTGTACATCTATTCACCTAAATGACCTCTCCCTTTATCAATAACAAAATTATCATGGCACTTAATTGTTTACGACATAAGAAAAAAAGAATCCTTATTATTCTGCATACTCCATCCAATACCACAGGCCAAAACATCTCATTTCATAGGTTTAAAGAGACATAATATTGATGTACTACAGTGACCATTAAAGCATTTACCTTTTCTGGAACCACACTTTTGCCATCCCATGCATAACCTCTCTTAGTGAAATAGTTTACTGTGGCAAACTCAATCAGAGCTGAGAACACAAAGGCATAGCACACGGCAATAAACCAATCCATAGCTGTTGCATAAGCCACCTTAGGGAGGGAGTTTCTGGCACTGATGCTCAATGTTGTCATGGTGAGCACAGTTGTTACTCCTGTAAAGAAAAAAAAAAACATACATGATGCCAGTTCATACTGTGAAATTTCATCATGATGGGACAGCCTACTTGAACAAAAGGAAATCAACAGTATCATGACAGAATGTGGTTTCTAGACCATCTTATTTTGGTTTAGAATTGATGAGTCTTAATTTAACCCCAGTGTAGTCTGTGATTCATGGAATGGCAGCATTGAGGGGGATATCTTGTAGGAATAAATTGCTCTGCTATTGAGGTGCTCTTCAGAAGATAGTAAGCTCCTTTAAATTGGCGCTTTGAACATGGGTGTCCTGGGTAAAACAAGAAATAACATTCCTCACTGTACCTAGTTCTTGATATAGAAATCACAGATCTTCACTTGCCTGTGATCCACAGGTAACTTCTGGATACTCAGCTCTGTTTAATATTCTATGTACCCCAAATATGTAAACCAGAAAGTGAATGACTTTTTGATAATTTATAGATAATTGAACTATTCGGGGAAAATTGCCACTTTATTGACTCATGGTTTTACACTATCTTTCCTGATTCAAAAATAGCTACATTTTTAAAGAAATTCCTAAATCTGACATATATAGATAGAAACATGTGTGTCTCATATACATATAGACACACACTCACATATATATATATACACATATATATAATAATACATTTTATGTAACTTGCTAGAGAATACACAGCTAAGAAGTAGCAGTACCAACATCTGAACACCAGTTTTTCTGATTCGAATGTTAGAATCTTTTTTCTTTCTGATAAGACTGCCTCATCTTTCCTACTCTGCAAATCCATCCCTAGTGATTAAAATGCCCTCTATTCAAAAGAAGTTTTCAAGTTAGCCCATTTTAGTTTACTTACACAATTATATGTTAGTATGAGAAAGATGATACCCTCTAATGTTCATTTACCAAATACTATCAGCCTACTATTTGTAATGCACTATACTCAGTACAAAAGTATAATGCTGTCAGGTTCCCTTTAAACCATATAAAAATGTTAAAAAAACAGTCACAGTTACCCATTCAGGGTGGATCAGGCTACATATTGTAGAAATAATTCTGACTTCTTCCAGTGACTAGTCTCAATCCTACCACTTATTAGCTCTATGACCTCTGCTAAGTGATTTAACCTGTAGGAACTCTGTGCCCATATCTGTAAAAGGGATGACTTGTTTTTCATTCTCTCCACTGTCTATACCATTGTTGAAATTCTAGGAGAAGGACATTTTTGCTCACTCACTCAAAAGACTATCATGAGGATTAAATGCAATGACTTGTAAATTCAGGCTCCTGAATTTACATGTCAGTATTAACTTGAGCAAATATTAGGGTAATTGAAAGTCCAGGGCAACCGAGTTTCAAATCCCTGTTCTATAACTGCTGAATGACGTTGAGAAAATTGACTTAAAATCACGAGCTTCTGGGGTTTATAAAATTTTTTTCTTGTAAGTTGATTTAATAAGTTTAACTCAGAAGGCTATCATGAATATTAAGTAAGGTAATGCAATGAAGTGTTTAGCTCTTAGCCTGATAATAAGGGCAAAACTAATGACTATTATAATTGACAACTTTAGTCCTTTTTGATAAATCCCTACTACAATAAATTCAATTTTTTTAAAAAAATCTTGGTTTATGTAGTCAGTTCTCAGAAGTAATGTGGTAACGGGTATTTTTAAACCAAATGTGTCCATAAATTAAGAGCAGTTGAGAAGATTAACATGAAGATACAATTTGTGCCATAGGAAAATACAATTCCTGTTATAGGAAAAGAGAAAAGAACACAGATTTGTTGAACAGCTTTTAAGTTACAAGTATGGAACCTGACAATGTATATTTTTTTTATTTGCTAAATTTTTAAAAAACAGCATTACTTTACTTTCCTTGTACTTTCATTTAACAGACAACTGAAGCTCCATAAGAGGAAGTAAATTTGCCAATGCCATGCAGCTGGTAGGTGGCGAGACTGAATCTCAAACTTGGATGTATTTGGCAGCAAAATTAAGTGACCACACTGCCTCCAGATGAGAGACAGCATGGAAAACCAAGAATATGGTCTTCTAAGGCACAAGATAGACTGCAACCTTCTTTCATTCTGGATGTCTTTTAATAAATGGTTATAAAGTACAACTTTTGTTTGTTTGTTTGGTTCTTTTGTTTTTTTCTTTTTGAATCTACATGATCCTTTTAGGCTTCTCACAGAGCTCAGAAAAAAAAATGTGCTGAGTTCAAACTAAAAAGCATAGAAACATGTGTACAAAATAAATGTTAAAAGGTTAAAAGTCTAGAAAATTGTATTTGTGATTCTAGTGAACTTAAAATATTAGAAACATAAAACTTGAAACACAAAAATACTTGTCACAACTAAGTTTACAGACATATAGTTATGTTCATCAAAGGCCATGAGTCTGTTGAGATATAAGATTGCTGAAAAAGTTAAGAGCAATGTTTTTTGACATACACCATCTGAAATGCTGTAAATAATTTTCAAATCAAAAGAGTAGAATTCGTTGGTGTGGGAAGGGGTAAATCACCTTTTAAAGGAACCTTTTCCAATATAGTGTTGTACTCATACTACAAAAATAAAATAAAACATAAATATGTCCTGTGTTTATTTTATTATTATTATTATTATTATTATTATTATTATTATTATTTTTTTGAGAAGGAGTCTCGCTCTGTTGCTCCAGGCTGGAGTGCAGTGGCACGATCTTGGCTCACTGCTAGCTGCACCTCCAGGGTTCAAGCCATTCTCCTGCCTCAGCCTCCCGAGTAGCTGAGACTACAGGCACCCACCACTACACCCAGCTAATTTTTTGTATTTTTAGTAGAGACGGGGTTTCACCATGTTGGCCAGGATGGTCTCGATCTCCTGACCTCGTGATCCACCCGCCTCGGCCTCCCAAAGTGCTGGGATTACAGACGTGGGCCCCGTGCCCGGCCTGTCCTGTGTTTTTTGTTTGTTTTTGTTTGTTTGTTTGTTTGTTTGTTTGTTTTAATTTCCTAGTGAGAAAAAGGCATACTCATACAGATATAAGCATCTTAACAAGACTTCGTCTTTAGTGAGTTCATTGCTAATTAATATCGACACGTGGTAATGGGAAAGAATGAGTATGCAATGAACTGCTCTTTTGTTCTGCAGCTGCAATTATTCTGAATATTAATTTAGCTATATGCTTAGGCAATTGTCGGAGCAATGATTTGGTGTTTGCCAATCTAGAAGCATATTGCCAAGTTCAGAAGAAAATACACGTTTCTGGTACTTGTAGCAGAGTCTTGCTTTTTTTCTGAGATAACTGATTTTTCATACACTACATATTATTGAAAAATGATACCATAGGAATCTCTTCAGGTGAATAATCCTCAGTTTAGACTATAAGCTTCTTAAGGCTTTTATCCTTTAGCACAGCTCTTAAAAACAGCAGGTGCCTAGTTGATATTTGTGGAATGAACCTTGATAATTGCACCTCTCACCAATAAATACGTAGTGGTGATTTCCAAATGAAGTTAACCACAATACTCCCATTTCAATTATTTTCATTGCAGCAGGATAGCTCAGAGGTGACGATACAGCATTGTCATTAGGCGAACAGACTCCAGAGCTAAATGCTAGGGTCTTCGTCCTGGCTCCATCTAATAGCTTCTAACTATGGGCAGATTACTTAATCTGTTGTTCCTTAGATTTCACTTTTAAAAATGGAAATAATAATAGTAGATAGAATTTGTTTTATAGTTAAGTAATACAGGCTAATTGTATAGAATAGCGCCTAGTATAAAAGCATTTGATTTTATGATTACTCAATTTTAAGCTTCAGAATGCAATTTTCATAACGAGAGTGGTGATTTGTGTTCAGTTCACTACTGCTTTCTGTGTCTAGAAGATATTGTATTGGAATCTTTCATTTTTATCAGCCTGAAAAATACAGTTGAAATAGTATACGGGGATATAGGCAGGAAATACCTTTTTATATCAAATGCACCCTCTAAAATAATACATGAGGAAATAAGTTTTCCTATTTGTAAAAGGTTGTTTACCCTTTAAACAATACTCAATTAGATTTCTTAACTTGAAGCATGTAGGTCATTAAAAATATTGTAATAGAAAAAATGAATGCATGTAACTCTACAGAAGTGCACACATCAGGTAAAGTGACTTATTCCTGTAGTGATATGGTGGTCATTAATTGGCTCTCCCTACTTAAAGAAGCTCTGCTTTTTATAAATGTAAATAAGTAGCTCTGCTGATATTTTCTAAGCTTCTCGAACAACTCAGTGATTCATGTTATATATTCTAAATATATTGTTTAAATATTAAGTTTTTATTTATGAGTTTTTAATATTATGCATTTTATGCCTGCTTCACTTCATTTTTACCTCAAAATATCAAATCAAATATTCATTAATGCCATCTATTCACAAATACTAAAACAGCTTGCTAGTTAAATAGTTTTAAAAAATATATACCATAATGAGAGTGGCAATTCCTTGAAACTTTCTGTTATATGAACTTAATATTTGAGTGTATATTTTTTTTTATTTCTCTTTGCAGTGTCACAGATATGACATAACTTGTCTTCCATACCCTTCCTTGCGTATGTATCTTGATTGGGACTTACCAAAGACAGTTCTTGCTGGTACAGACTCTCTGTTGAGCCAGAAGGAGACTTGTGAGAGAATCACTGTCATTATGCATGGCAGGTATGTTTGAATAACAAAGTAGCCAATCTTTCTCTTCAAGTGGAAATGAGTGGTCATAACAACATATTCTCCTGAGAAGTAAAACACACAAGAAAGATGAGCAATTTGACTTTAGAAAAAGGTAATCTCTGAGGTTTACTATGAGTACCAAAGGTCTGGGAATTAGACACATCCTTTCTCCATGTGACATCCAGTTCTTGGAGGGAAAAGTTTTTATCCAGAAAATAAAAGAGACATACTTAACACACAGTAAAATGACTCTGAGGATGAGACTGAGGTGCCAGAGTCTTTAAAGATATTCTTACCTCTTAATTCAAATACATCACATATTGGAGGAACAAATCTGAGTTTATATTTAAGGATTGGCTTTCCAATCCTTAAATTGACTGAGAAGGCAATATGCTAAACCCTGTGACATAGACCAATGGGTCAGAAACAGATCAGATCTCCAGTGTGTCCATTACAGAGCATATCCACAATACCTACTGAAGAAGCTTTGGCGTGTACATCAGGACAGTTTAATTTTAGCTCCAAAACTGCATTAAATATCTCTTTGACATCAGAAGAGTAATTTAGCATGGCCTGATCTACAAAATAAGGAGAGTGGGCTAGAATCTTTTGTTTCTCAAAATTTATTTTCCAGGATCACCTGGGAAACTTTTGAAGAATGCAGTTCTTCAAATCCCAACTAGATTTACAAACCATTCTTTGAAAGGTCAGGAAAATCTGTATTAATAACCAGATTTTGAGTTTGTCCCAATTCCTAGATTGATCTGGGAAACAGTGGTCTAGTTAGGTGCTCTCCAAGGTCCTTAAACACTTCAAATTCTGACTTCAGTTAGAGGTATAAAGCAGTAGACACACAACCCAAATTGCAGGAGAGTCTTATTGTTTCTCTTTTTGCCTTATACTTTCTCAGTTAAAAATCTTAGGATTGTTTAGCCTTATTCACTCAAAATATAGGGTTAATATAGGCTGTAGTCACATCTTAACTCCAATTTTTCCTAAATTTTGATGTAGAGTGATCTTTCACATGTGCGATTCTGCCACTCTTTTTTTTTAACTTAAAATATCTTAATGGAGACTGATTAGCAGCATTAGGCTTTCTCAACCTCAGCACTATTGACATTTTTGAACAGATAATCATTTATTGAAGGTGGCTGTCCTATATATTGCAGAATGTTTAGCAGCATTCCTGGACTCTACTTACTAGAGGCCAGTAGCAAACAGCTGCCCCTCTCTTGTGTGACAATATAAAGTGACTCAAGCTCTACAAAGTAACAAGCAAACTTCCTAATCTGTATTTAAGAGTATGCATAGCATAGTTCTAATATGCACTGAATTCTCTTGTCTCTTCGAATATTTCAACATCTCAATATATTGGCCTACAAAACTCTACCTATCTTCTGCAGCTGAATATTTTGCTCATCTATAGGTTGGTTCCAGCCCAAGTACCAGGTCCTCAGTGGAATAGAAATTATTGTCCTATGGAAGAAAATGTATTAATATTTGGAAGCAAATGAATTTGACTTCAAAACCCAGATCTGCTATTTTCTTGCCGTGTAGCTTTTGATAAGTCACTTAAACTCTCTTACCCTTAGTATTCTTGTCTACAAAATAGTCAGAAGCACAATATGGGGATAATAAAGAAGAATGGCTCTAATTAAGATGATACTATGTAACCACATTATAATGTTAAAATAAATTTAATTTGTTTCTCCATTTTCTTCACACTTCTCCTCAATCAGAACTGGTAGAAGTGTTGGTAGAATAACACATCCTGCTTTCTGTAGCAGGAAATTATCTACGCACTTATGCCTGCTTTCATTATTAACTGTTATTGATAATAGCACCTGCCCTTTACTAAACACTTACTGTGTTCAACTTTATATCTCTTGTATATATTTATAATATATCATACTTTGCATTTTAGTTATTTAACTACATACATATATTCCTCCCACCAAACTGAAAGTTAATTAAAAGAAGAATAGTTATTTGGTTATGTAGCATGACCGGCCATATCCTCAGTATTTAATACCTTCATATAGTGAAAATGGATGCACTGAGGCTCACGGTCACTCAATCAAAACAAAATTCATAAGAATCTTTCTTTTAAAGGACAAATGGAATGTTACCAGATTAATTTCTTATTATTTTCTGTGTGTTCCTCTAGTGATATCTTTAAGGTCATTTGAAAAGAAGAAAGTGATCCAAATTTAAGAAAAATGTAGAAAAACAATTTTCCCAAAACACTACTAAAATATAGTCTCATGTGGACATACCCATGCTACACTTCACCATCTCAGGGGCATGCATTATTATTCCTAACAATTCATTCAACTGCAGCCTGCAAAATGTCACCAGCTCAAAGAAAAAAATTCATCTGTATATAATGTCAGAAAAATGAGTGTCTGTATACATTCCATTATCTTTTGTTGTTCTCAACATGACATTTTTGCAAAGATCCTGAAAAGAATATAATTTTTGGAGATCTGAAGAGCTATTATTTGACATTATATTTGTTTTATAAACAACTTTTTCCCTAACAGATTTTCCCTAACAGAAGAAATTCCAATGTTTTGAAACCTTTTCCTAAATTAAATACAATTTTAAGAGTGTTGGCACAAACTTTCAAATAAGGAAGAAAAGGGAAGCAACATCAGAATCATGTTGTAATAGCTTTAAAATGAAAGAAAAACACAACAAAAACAAAAAACCAAGTCACCTAAATTGGATTGAAATAATACGTCTAGACATCAAGTGCTTATGCACAAAGCATGTCAAATTATTTTCCCTCCTTCAACAGTCTAGGGGAATTGTCATTCAAATATTCTTGCAGTTTATTTAACCCTGAAGGAAGCTTGCAAATTAGATGTGACAATATTTCTGATATATTGCAAAACAAAATTAAGGAGAGTGGAAGAAAAGCAACTAATATAATTTTTCAAAACAGCATTAAAGATTTGTTTAGACCTGGCTTTCAATCTTTGCCTTCTCAAATATTAGTTACTTGGAGGTAAATACCTTGCATAGGTTCATTTGGCTACAGTTTCCCGATTTGTCCAATTAATATAATAGTTTTTAATTTAACTGTCTCCTAGGAGGATGTGAGGATAAAATTACATAATCTGAGTGAAAGCACTTTTTAAAAACTCTATTTCTATGGACATTTACAGTATGAAGATTAAAAACACAGACATGCATTCTCTCTCTAAGTCAGAGATCAACCACTTGGTCATTCAACAAAATTGTATTGAACATTGATTCCTTGTGAAGCTGTCATTTTCCTTCCAAGTATTCTAAACTTGGTGTTTTCTATGGATACTAATATTGCAAAAGGAATTTTCTATCAAAAATGTTATTGAGAAAGTGGTGGTTATGTTTTTTAATTGCTTCAGAGATTCTAAATAGAGATAAGGGGACACTCATTATAGTTCTAGATCATTTAGCCTCTCTGGGACCATGTCTTCATTTGAAATATAAATGGTTTGACCAAATGACCACAGAAGTCTTTTTTTTTTCCCAGGACTTACATTCTATAGTTATAATTATTTCTCTGGAGACCATGTACTAGGCTTCATAAATGGAAGCCCCTAGGCTCTTTGGATGAATGATGATCACCAATGTTACTCCATAGTCAAAGAAGACTGTTGCTTTTCTTATTATCTTGACCCTTCTGGGTCATGATTACATCAACTCATGCAGAGACGACTCTGTGTCCAAAAAAGAGAATACTACAATGTTTCTTAGTCATCTCTTTTAAGGATTAACAATAGTCATTCAGAAGAAACTTTCTTTTTCACCAAACTTATCAAATTTTCTTATAATCAAATTTATTTAGGTAAATATGGAGAACTTGCAGTCATCACTGTGTGTTTTTAAAACATTGCATGGCATTACATTATTAATGTTTTCTGGACACTGATATTGTTATGCTTCGTGATCAATTTCATTATTTTGTTTTTCTTTATAAGTTATATTTCATGGCCTTAAGTCACTGTAGTAATTTTTGCATGGGCTGTCCTTGAAGACTTACTTAGAAAGCATAATGTGGTGAGGGTGGGAAGAGACAAGGGGTTATGCCACCCTTGACACATCAAGTAGAAATGACCCCCTTCCTCCTTTATGCCATCATGTAGTTCCCTTACACTAGCTTTACTATTAGTATTATTTTTATTATTATTATTTTGAGACAGGGTCTCACTCTGTCACCCAGGTTGGAGTGCAGTGGTGTAGTCTCGACTCAGTGAAGCTTCTACCTCCCTGGGTTCAGGTGATCCTCCCATCTTGGCCTCCCAAGTGGCTGGGACTACAAACATGCAACACCATGGCCAGCTAATTTTTTAATTTTTTGTAGAGATGGGGTTTCTCCACATTTCCCAGGCTGGTTTGGAACACCTGGTCTCAAGTGATCTGATCTGCTTGTCTCAGCCTCCCAAAGTGCTGAGATTACAGGCATGACTCACTGCACCCAGGCCTACTCTTATTATTAATAGTAATATCGGACACTTACTGCATACATTTTACAAACCAGATACTCTTCTAGGCAGTTTACATGCATTTTCTTATTTCCATCTCACAATAGCTCATGAAAAAGATACATACAAAAAAAAAAAACCATAAAAATTAAAACACTTGTCAAAAGTCACACAGTAAATAAGTTGCAAAACCAGCATTGAAATCTTTGTAGTATAACTTCAGGGTTCATACTCTTAGCAACTATGCTTCCACATCTCATGTGTCTCTGATGCCTGTTATTGGTATGACATGTAGTTGAGAGTACATACCCTGCAGGTTGACAACCCAGGTTCAAATCCCAGTTCTGCCACTTCCCAGCTGTATGACCTTGGAATAATGTTTAAACTTCTCTGGGCCCCCATATATCCCATCTATAAAATGGGGATAATAATATTACCTCAATTCTAGGATTTTTGTGAGTATTAGATCTGAAGAATAGAACAGTGCCAATGCATGTTAGCTATTTATCTCACTCAACTAAGAACTTCTGAAGGGCAGGGGTTTTGTGCCTTTCATCTCTCTTCTTCAAGCCCAGTCACCGTGTCAGACACAGTAAATGAACAAGTGATTTAAGGATTACGTGGATAAATGAATGAATAATAAAGACATATTGGATTTGAAAACTAACTGGATCATCTTTCCCGTTTGCCTATTTCTCTGCCATATACTCTGTCCAGTAGTATTTTTCTGCCAGGTGAGTAAGTACACTTAAAACTAAGGCTGTAACTAAATATTCTTTTCCTAAATTTAATGGTAGTATCCAAGGAAGGAATTGTACCTCTAATGTATGTGTACTGAACTAGAAATTCAAATATTGTGCTAGGATTTCCATCTTCTTGCCTCTTATGTTAATGAAGTGATTTAGAAAGTATTTTGACTCAAAGAGGTCAGTAGGATTGTGTGTTTATGTTTTCCCATGTGTTGGTGGCAGGTAAGTAGCACTTTCTAAACTACCAAGGGGATTGAATGATTCTCTCTCCAGGGAGAATTTTAAAGTAGAAGAAGATGCCTTTTATCTAGTCATTCTCAATGTGTGTGTTCTCTCTCACCATCATTCTCTAGTCTTCTGACAGAAACAGGAAGGTAATGGTACTCAAGGTCATTTATTTTGATGTTTTCAGGGCTCCACAAAGAGATGTAAAATACAGCATTGCAGACCTTACACAAAGGTCTCTGTTTCTTTCTACTGAAATCTATCAAGGTGGACTCTTGGTGAGCTAAAGTGGTCCCAGAGGAAGTATAATTCAGCGTTACTGTGGAGTTGAAACGTACATCAAACTGAGCTTCCATTTGAGAATTTGCTCATTGTTCTTCTTACCCCCTAATATTCACTATGTGGTGACAGGAAAAAGCTTTTATTTTATGTAGGTGAACTTGCTGCTCTAGCACAGAATGATGACTTCTAGTGGGCCCAGCCCATGAGGTCTACCCTCATAGGTGTCAATGGGTTGGGCCACTGTCTCTCATTCTACTAAATGACTGCGTATTTTTTCTGAGTATCCAGAATGTAGACAGGTTGAATCCCTTGAAAGCCAAAGGTGAGGAAGGCCTCCATTATTTTGACTAAGCCTCTAATTTTGAACACATGGGATCTCAGGCATAAGAGGGTTATAGTAACATGACTAAGGTTGTTAAAGCTAAAATTAGAGCAGGAATATTCCCTCCTCTAAGCAACCTTTGAGACTTCATACATATATGCCTGCATACTACTGCATTTGATTTGTTTCCCAACATTCTCCAACTTCCTTTCTAACAAAAATAGATGAAGAGTTCCTTGAGGAAAAGTTATGTGTGCATTATTTGGTCTGCCTGGAGCCTAGAGAGTGATTATTTATCCCCCAATATATTCAGACTAACAAAATGAAAAATCAATTCCTGCAACAATCCTTCCTAGATCATCTTAAGCTGGATTTACTTTTTATTCATTAATTCAGAATATTTGTTCAATGCCTCCTATGTCTCAACTACTACAGAAAATAATAGGGATAGAGAAGACAGATGTGGTCTCTTCCATCACAAAAAAATGTTAATCACAGCACTTAAACTACCTATTTTGATAATTACAGTTTATGTGTTCAATTTCTTTTAGACTTCAAGTTCCATGACAGCAAAATCTGAGCTTGTCTATCATTTAATCTGTAGTGACTGCCATTATATCCAGCTTATAATGACATTCAAGTTTTAAAAAGTAAACACAGCTTACTTTCATATCTTTTCCAACATAATATGTTGTAAGAAGGAAAAATCTTGAGCATTTTTCATGTTCTGGGGTATTTCAGGACCATAGCAACAGCTCTTACTTACCATTTGAGTACCTATTATATAACACTCTGCAATATTTTATATTATTTCATCTTTAATACAAAATACAGGACTATCATTACTTAGGCAATACTAGAGTTTCCAACTGAACAAATGACTTGCCCAAAGTCACAAAGCTTCTAAGCGACAAGATCAGAACTTGAGTTCACATCTCCCTCACTACAAAGCCTATGACCTTTCCACTATGCCACTTGGATTTGAAATAAGAAAAAAAGAGAAACAGTTTCCATTTTTTAAAAAAAAAATAAAACACATAAACATTTAAGCTTCTGGGCTAGCAATGAGGGCTTCTAAGCAAGCAAGAGACAGATCCTGTTAGTCAGAACTTGTCTAATAATCATAGCAAGAGAGGTCGACCTATTATTGGAATGTATTATGCTTGTGAGGGTCCCAATATAAAGCATGAAATCAGAAGAAGTTTTTTTTATCACCACTCCTCTTATTTACTACTAAATCGTATTTCCTTAGAAATAAAAAATAAGAGTGAATAAAGTCAACTTAAATTTTGAAAGACATAATTTTGGAAAAATAATTCTTGACCCTCGTTAAAGCTTTCAGTAAATAATGGGCTTTGTGGGGCATGTATTTTTCTAATTGTTTGAGTCCAGTTTTTATTTATAATTATCTGGTCTGATGATCACATTTCAGATAGTACAAAATGGACACTTGAATAACAAAACTTTTATCTTATTGTTCGAAACAACTTTAAAGATGTGGGTCCAGCTTTTCCACAGTGTCAGGTCTAGTTCTGAGTATAGAATTAGTAAATCAGTTACTACACTAAAAAGGATGGCATGCTACCTACTTTTAATTCCCACATGGAGTGATCAATAATGTGGTTATGACTCTGTTGGCTTTAGCTGCGGAAGATGCTTGGTTAGAGATACAAACGAATTTGTAGAAGGAATTGGCTTTTTGATGTCCTGCGTGTAATAATCACTGCTACAAATTTAGCAAAATTCATTAACTAATGGTAATATGTGGAGCCTAGACTATATAAATAGTTATTTATGAAAAGCTTTTGATGGGTCAGGAATTGTGATAAGTACTCTTTAAGAATTTAATGTATTTCTTCCAACCACCCTGCAAGGGGACTACAAACAACTGACAAGGTTGGGGAATAAGGATTTAACCCAGATGTTCATCTCTAAGAGTTCACATAGCTACCTGTTGTGCTACAGTAATTACTTATAGCCAGTTTCTCAATTTGCAAACAAACAAACAGAAACAGAGGCCAAGAGGCATTAAATGACATGTCCAAGGTCACAGGTCTACCGAGTTTACATTAGTTCCCAGCTCAACTGATGCCCAATTTAGTGAAATGTTCTCTCTCCTAGACTTGTGTTACTGAATGATTCATTGAGTTCTCACAAAATATTATTCTTCTTCTTCCTCCATAACTGAAGTAACAAAATCGTACTTACCTGTACTTGACTGGACAATTCCAGAGTCTACTGTTTGTCCAAGAAGGTCATACTGGTTTAGACGTGATCCATCTTCTGCTACAACCACTGAGCGTGCTGGCTCTCTGGTCCATTCATAAACAACTTCTGCTCTTGTATAAGCATCTAAAAGGAAACAGTAGAAAATGATCCATATATTTTACCACTTCAATTCTCTTATTTAGTTGGTACCTTTCATCAGCTTCATATTTTCTATATCATGGTTCCAGAGGGCAGGCTAGGAAAGATGAGCTTATGTCCCTTAATTTACAAAAACTAAAACACGTTTTCTGATTTTTTTTTTTTAGTCATTTATTCACTCTTCCAACAAATGGTTATAAGGATCTACAAAGGACAAAATACTGTGCTGGGGATACAGTAGTGAATATAAGAACAAATGTTCTTTATCTTATGGAATATGCATTGTAGCAGTGGGGACAAAAACATATAAGCAAATACGTATGTAATTTCAAGTAGAGATAAGTGTGATAGAGTCATACACAACCGAGTAAAAGGATAGAGAATGAAGGGATGGAGACTTATCCTAAGTAAGGTAAGGGGCTCAGACAGAGTCGTCTCTGAGGAGGTAACATTTATACAAATACATGGCAGATGCATGTGAAAATCTTGGGGAAGAGTTTGTCCAATAGACAAACTAACAAGTGTCTTCTTCTTCTTCTCCTTCTCCTTCTCCTTCTCCTCCTCCTCCTCCTCCCCCTCCCCCTGCCCCTCCTTCTCCTTCTCCTTCTCCTTCTACTTCTTCTTCTTCTTTTTTTTTTTTCTTTTTTTGATGCAGTTTCACTCTTGTCACCCAGGCTGGAGTGCAGTGGCACCATCTCAACTCACTGCAATTTCCGCCTCCCGGGTTCAAGTAATCCTCCTGTCTCAGCCTCCCAAGTGTTTTCTTCTATTGCAGGCAAAAGCTTGACTAGTTTGAGGAAGACCAGTTTGACTAGAGTGAAGCATATGAGAGATGAAATGAGGTTAGAGGCAGTAGCTTTGGTCCAAATTATTGTTAAGCCAGGAAAAGGTCATGTTAAATGCGAAGGTCATGATAAATGTAAAAATCACTGGAAATTTTGCTGCATGTCCATTAGCAAGTCTGAGTTTACTCTCCTCTTTTCTACTGATTATCCTTCTTATAGATATTTTCCATGATGATGAGTTACATTCTATCACTCTTCTCAATCATTTTTATTTGCCATGTCACTTTGAACTTGGCCATCTCCTAATAAGAGGTTAGGTCATAATTCTGATGGATAATTTACACAGTTTAGAGGGAGAGATTGCATAGAGTGAGAGAGAAAGAGAAGGAAAAGGAATTCCATACCTTTTCTGATTTCTAGTCCTATAACACCCACTTCACATAGGTTGGAATGATAGTACGTACTCTCTTCTATTTAGATGCAGAATGAGGTTAAACATTAAAGAAAATATCACTTTAGAAAAAGCAAGCTGTTTCCAGTGTTTTTGAGGGGGAGGCATCATAGTAAATGTTGGCCTATGACAAGAGCTTGACTCATTGGCCAACAGTCAACTTCTCCATTAGGCACAGGGCCTGAGGCCCTCAATACTTTTAGGAGGCCACAAAAATATTTTAATTTCTTTTGAAATCCAAAGATAAAGTGAATATAATATAATCTGGATTATATTCATCTTTGTAGCAACCTGGTCATGAAATAATTTTAATTTTCTTCTTGGAGGAATGGCCTCCAAAGGCAAAAGTGCCTAGGGCTCATAAAAGTCATAATGCACCTCTGTTTGACCCAATCCCCACTTAAATAACCAGGCTTTTGTGTTCTGTCCAATACACATTTTCCCCAGATAAGATATAGTGAGGTGTAAAACTATAGTTGCTTTTTTACATGAAAATAAGGCTGTCTGAAAAAAGATGTGAGCCATGCCTTTCAGTCCCTAAAACAAAGCTTCTAATGTGATTACTTTTCACTGAGGTGAGTGATGCAGAAAAATGTAGCCAGTGTTCCCTGATTTTATAAGGGTAGCCTGCCAGTTCCAATATCACTTCTGCATCAATTTATAATCAGATGGTTTTTAAAAACAAAATTTTCCATAAGTTTAAGAGAATGAACTAAAAATTTAGTGGTTCATGGGACATGTAAAAGTACGAAATGGATAATTTTGAATTTATCTTTGTTTTTCCTTTTTAATTGTGGTTATCCTCATGGTCTTAAAAATGAAAGCATTTCACCATTGTGTATAGCAGTACTGTGTCTATTAGGAGGGATGTAAAATGTGATTTACAAATCTCTTAGAAGAAGGCAGAGCACACTAGTTTGAGAAGGACCCTATCGTTTACAATTTGTAGATAACCACATTTACTAATATTTTAATATGATAAATTATTGTTTTTTAATGGAAGCATCTTACCTAAGAAGACATAATGAGTTTATGGTAACATGGAATGATTGAATGTTCAATTTGCAAATGCCTCAAAAGTCATAGAGTTTAATTGCATTTTACGGATGGTAAACTGAGGGAAAAAAATAAATGACTTGTTTAAGCAGACATTACTAATAACTGGGAAAACCAAGATAAAGACTTAGGATGCCGTTCATTTGACTTTACTGTGTTTTGTAAGTGTTTTTCTAGGCAAAACTGTATATTAGATAGGTTTGCATAAGCCAAGCAAAGATATTTGGTGGTTGTGCAATTAGTGATGAAACCAAGTCTAGATCTTGTGTCATTTCACAACAAACTAAAACTCTTGCTTTTATATTGCACTGCTGTTAGCAAAAGTGTCTGCACCCTATCTTTTTATACTTTGTCATGTGTTGTTACGGAGCTGCTAATATAGTTGTAGAGGGGGAAAAATGTGTTACCATTGACTTTTCATTTTATATAATTTTGGTGTCTCATTTCTTGCAATTTCATAGAAGCACCATTGCATATGAAAATGTATAGGCCATCTACTACAAACATGACATCATTGTGAAGGTGCAGATGACTCATTATCCATGTCTCTCCATGAGAATCTTCCAAAATGAAGGGTAGATTCACCTGATGCAAGTTAGTATTTTAAGATGGAGAATACAGATATACTTAAGGCCTTAGCAAAGATGATATATCCTATTGTTTCCTTAAATTTTAGTAACCAGAAAATAGTTCCTATGAAAATGTACTTGACCAGAGACATCAGCATAAGAAAAGTGAGATTAAAAAGAGTCTTCAGCTACTTAGCCAAAAATTTTAAGTTACAATTTCAAATAAATTATAATGCCCCCAAAAAAGTTTTAGAAATAAGACCACAAGGTGGCTGGGCACGGTGGCTTATTTCTGCAGTCACAGGATTTTTTAAGGCCAACATGGGCAGATCTATAGAGCCCAGGGGTTTGAGACCAGTGTGGGCAAAATGGCAAAATTCTGTCTCTACAAAAATTTATTTGAAAATTAGCCAGGTGTGATGGCATGTGCCTGTAGTCCCAGCTACTCAGGAGGCTGAGGTACGAGGACCACTTGAGCCCAAAAGGTTGAGCCAGCAGTGAGCCCTGATTGTGCCACTGCACTCCAGCCTGGGCAACAGAGAGAGACCCTGTCTCAAAAACATTAATTAATAAAATAAAAAAGACAAGAAGGTTTTGGTTGGTGTTATGAAAGAACTCTGTGGTGGTAAAACACTGGGAACATATATTACTTAGTATCAGGAGAGTTGCTAATTGACACTATCATTTCACTTTTATGAGTCTCTGTGTTTCCATTTGTATGAGCCACATGAACAAAATGATTTCTAAAGTCGTACATTGTTCAGAATTCATTCAAATTTTGACTCATTCCTCTCAGTGTGTTTGCAATGCATTGTTTTTTGATAATTAGCCAAAAGACAATCATATATTAAGGCCTTAATAGATTCAGCTTTTGCCTAGGTCTTTATGTCAGAATCTGCAACCCAAATCTCTTCTTTTGGAAACAAAGCCTTATTTGGTATATTTCTCAAAAGCAGTGAAACGATCACAGTTGTATCATGCACATTGCCCTCGGGTTAGCTGACTTTATAAAGAGAGCTTTATCCATAACCAGTAGAAAGTTTAAGTTAGCCTTAACAATCAGAATCTAATAGAGAACGGTAAGAAAGACTGCTTCTCAACTTTAGATTTTATCACCATATGGATAAGGTTGCTTCAGAATATTCATAAACATTTATTACAGACTGTTCCACTAAATTATTGAAAACTCCTCTTGTCTATTCTTTTCTCTGATATTTCGGCAAGGTGTTTACTTCGAAAAATGAGTCAAAATATTTTTAGCCCATTCTTGCCTCAGTTTCTTCACCTTTGAAATATGCTAAGTAGGCCAGGTCAGAGAAATGACTGGACAACAAATGGACTGCCCCTGCCTCTTCTTGTGCCAATGCCAGGCAGTGGTAATTAGCCATGGTGTTCTTTTCCGCTAAGCATGACCGTCAAAGCCTGCACTTCAATGTCTAGTCTGCTCTGTTTCATTCCCCACAGGTCTTACACTCTCTTTTCTGAAGCTTAAACAGTGAAGGGGCATTTAAAGCCTGAGTCTTGTAACCTTTATCCATTCAATAAATATTTACTGAGAACCTACAGTGTATTTGCCTTTGTGCTAGGAAAAGCTGAACAAAGTATGTCCTTCTCTCGTGACGTTACAGTCTCCAGGCAATACAAAAGTTAACCAATAAATAAAATGAATCATCATTGCTGTGATAAATGGTATAAAATAAATGTGCATTGTGATCAACAAGACTGGTGAGACTGTAAGCAAATTTCGATAAGGTCATCAGGGAAGGCCCTGGGAGATGACATTTATGCTGACATGTGGAGAGATAGAAGTCAGCCATGCTAAGAACCAAGGGAAGAGTAATCCAAGCAAAGAAAAGAGCATATGGCTCTGAGGTGGAAAACAGCTTACTTATTTTTCTTTAGCTTCAATTTTCTTATATGAGACACTGTTTTCTACTCACTATACATTTACCTCTTCTTAAAATACCTCTAATATTCTTCAGGTTGACAATGTGTCCAATTAAAAATATTTACTTCCAGCCTTCTTTGCAAATATCATTGGCAATGTGAGACATTTGATTAATGAGATGTAAGTAGATTTCCACTAGGATTTTAGGGAAAGCTTTTATCTTTTTCGTATAGGCATTACTCCTTTCATTTTTACCAACTATTACCTTCTATCACAAACAGAATTGCATTGACTGGAGTTACAGCAGCCATCTTGTGATGAGAAAGAATATCTAAAGACATCTTAAGACAGTGGCCTTGTTAGGATGCTGAACCAATCAGAAATCTATCAGCACTCACTTTCACACATCTTATATAAAATGATAAACTCTCCTTTTTTCAGCTATTCTCACTGCTGAAAGCATTCCTGACTAATTTTTAAAAATATGCAGTTCATTTTCCAAATTAGGATTTTTTAAGATAAAAGGGGGAATTATTAGTATTTATACCAGGCTGGGCACTGTGGCTTATGCCTGTAATCCCAAAAATTAGGGAGGCCAAGGTGGAAGGTTTACTTGAGACCAGGAGTGTGAGACAGACTGGGCAACATAGCTAGACCCTGTCTATACCACAACCATACAAAAAAGTTACAAATCAGCCAGGCGTGGTGGCACATGTATGTAGTCCTGGGTACTCAAAAGCCTAAAGCAGAACAATTGCCTGAGCCCAGGGGGTCAAGCCTGCAGTGAGCCATGATTGTGCCACTGGACTCCAGCCATGGCAACAGAGCAAGACCTTGTCTCTTAAAAAAAGTATACCAGTATATTAGGCATAAACCGATACTGTCCCAGGCAAACTACGGCGTATGATCTTCCTAACTGTAAGATTAGGTTGTGATTTAGATGAACTTATAAATATACAAATATTTAATGTACTATCTGACATGCAAGTAACATGTAGCACATATTGTCATTATTACAAATGGATCTGTTATTCAGGAGAAAACATAATCGTTCATATTAAGGAATGTATATTAAATTGGGAAAAAAGCAGGGAGAAGGGAGTTATCACCAAATGTCTGTTTAACCTAGAGTTTTTGAAGCAGTTTATCTTCGAGTTTCAGTACAAAATGGGATTTATAAATAAAATTCTCTCTCCAGGACTGATGCTGCTAGGAGCCCGAAGGCCTTTTGCTATTTTCTTTACTTTCTGTCTTCCTACACTACCACTGTTATTTTTCTATGAATCATATCTTCACCAAAATAGTCATTTAGACTGCCTGTCTAGTGAGAACAGAAAATCGGTTAGGTAGTCCAGGAGTTGACTCAGTCCTTGTACATAACTCCCCTGCAGGAAACCAAGAATACATTATTCCCACTCACTCCATGCATGTAAACCAGTTGAAAGCAGAAGGGTAAAGAAAAGACCGGAGAACCTGACTCTCACAGTCATTTTTCTCTTGGCTGCTCCAAGGTGTTTCTGAATATTTTCAAACAGCTGAAACCCAGGAAGTTATTATGAAGGGCATTTATCCAGGATACTTTCAAGAGCACTAATATATATATATATATATGAATGCCATGAGATACACACACATATCAGCTAATTTTCTAAGACTATGATTAGGGTATTTGTGTTTTTTGCAACATCAGTTTGGTGTAGGCTTCATTATTAAGAAACACTTACTGTCCTTTGCCATTTACCAACACTTTAATCTGGTAAACGAATTTAATTATTTTTAAGATCAAACAAGTGTCAGTAAAGATATAAAATAGACACAATGATCTCCATTAATTGAGAGGAAAATATTATCCATGAGGTAGAAGCATCCATACTTCACTTCTTTTTCTATAAATACAAATTCAGCATAAATAGAATTATTTCAATAACTAGTTTAATCCATGCTTTCTAGTTCAGTAGATAAAGAATAAGCTCTCTCTTGAAGCAACATTAAAAAGTGAAGTCACAGAGCACTACTTATGGAAAGTCCATGTGGTATATTGCTGTTTAAATTTTCTTGATTCCCTTATCTACGCGTTTTTCTCACAGATATAGCTAGAGATCTCTTGCTTAATGACTTACAATCAAGAAAAGTCCATATAAATTTACTCACAACTTCCAAATTTTAGTGGGCAAGCATGGGCATCCATAGGGAAGTCCTCCAAATGCATCGGACATTCAGCTCTCACTGTCAGCCTTAAGGGAAACATAGAATACAAACAAGAGCCATATAGATTAGATACTTCTTGATAAGTACAAGTGGAATGTTATTAACTGTAGCAAATATATTAACAAAGAAGGCATAATTGCAGGGTTATGCTGAGCTGTTAATAATCAAATGATCTAAAAATACATATTTACAATAATGAGTGGATTCTATCCTTTTGTTTGTTTGCTTTAAGAAACAAGGCAACCCCTGATATTGTACAATGGGCAAGCCTTGTTAATATTTTCCAAAACGACCATTAATTAATCCACTCAGCTATAGCAAATGGTTTGAGAATAACACTAGATGTAAGCAAATAAACACTTGCGTAAATACTACTTTATCCTTGCTTGAGAGGAAGACATGGATAGCATGGAAGAGAAGAGAATTTCTCCTGTTCTAAGTGCATCTCTCTCTGCTTCTTTCTCTAAAATAGCACCAAATGCATAGAAGAAGGTAGGAAAAGCTGAAGGGGGATGTGTCCTCAGGCTTTGTGAGATTAAGATTAATACAACATCTCCATACATGATCTCACTACTTGCAAACCATTTCGTTTTATTTACAAACCCACCATCTAATTGAAGCTAGGACTCTGCTGTGCTTCTCTCTAGTCCCTGGGATGTTCTGTGGATGTGAAATCTATTCTTGTTTTGTTTTGTTTTTTTTTGGATTGCTAAGAAAGAAGTTCACTGAAATATATTTGCTTTCAGTTTGTAGAATTATAAGGAAATTGATATTCATGTCCTTCATATGATTTTTAGCAAGCATATTTACCCATATTATTAAGTAGCTCAAGAAACGTAGTAAGATAGATTTATAGTCAATCATTAAATGATTAGAATACCAACTAAAGCAAATATACAAAGTATAAATTTATGATTAAATTGCATTCTTAAATTAAATTATTAAAGAAAGTAAAAACACATTAGCAAAGGAAAATTTTAGGAGATGAAAGATACAGATGAAGAACACTGTATACATCAGAAACCATTAATCAATAAACCACTTAGGATATGCAAGTCTCTCCTCAGAAAATTGCCATCTAAGAGGAATGAGTACTGGATTTAGGCTCAAAGCCAAGTGTATGGTGTTTCATCAGGGGGGAATATTTCAAATTTCAATTACGAATAGGTCCTGCTTAGATAATCTAGAAAGTTCTCAACACATGTGTCCATTGGTCCTCTATTTCTATCTTTTAGATTTTTTTAAGTCCTAATACATTTTAATTAGTTGGCTCAATATCCAAAGTGTCTCTTGAAGAATTTTTTCTTTTCTTTTCTTTTGGATGTTTGCATTTGAAAAGCTAGGCATTCTGGCAGCTTTCTCCAAAGGCAAAATATTACTGTACTTGCATACAATCCATAAATTTAGGATTTTACCTTTATTACCTTTTTGTACCAAAGAAATAATTGAAAAATCTGAATTACTGTGTATTGACCAAATGTAAAAAACTCGTATCTAACAAGTCATCTGGGAATAAATTACTGCTGCTCTCAAGAATGAGTTCCAGACAATTCTTAATTTCTCATAAATGAGGAATACTTTTAAACATCTCTTTTTTTCTATATAAAATTCAAAACTTTATTTGATTCATGTTTCCTTCATTCAGTCATAAGGTATTCAACACTTAATAGATGCTAAGCTTTACAGCAATCTTAAAGAGAGGGAAATGTTTATAAAACAGAAATGTATACGTAGTCTTTAGTTTGAGCAAAATTAATAGTATCTATATTCTCGTCTAGCTATCAACGCCATTGTGAATTCAAATACTTCTTAAAATACCTATGTCTACATGAATCTGTGTTTTATGAATTTTGTAACTTTCCATATTTTTTGTTTTTTATTACTTCATTTTTAGTAGGAATGTTTTCAGATGTAGATCATTAGATGGCTTCTAGAAATTTAGGTCTTACTGGAATGAAGGAATATATGAGTTTTATAGTAGGGAGAGGAAGTTCCTTATATTGAATCCACCTAGCTACAGAAAATTATTTAAGAATAAAACTAGATGTAAGCAAATAAACATTTGCATAAATAATACTTCATCCTTGACTGAGGGAATTAGAACAGGTTGGAGAGATTTTTAAGATTGTTAAGGTTGAAAAACAAGGAAGCAAATATTCCACCATGGCTCATCAGCCTGATGATTGCCTACAAGTGGAAGGGAATGAAGTACAGAAACATTCATGAATGGCAGTGCAGCCATCCTTACCTCATGGTGTACAGCAAGGTGCCATCCTCTGTGATCCGCAGGAGTTTGTTGGGCATGGTCATGTTGTGGGCCACTGACTTCTTTCCATTGTGGAAAAATGTGTCCGGAGTCCAGATTTTACTTGCCATTAGGTTATTTAACCGGAGGACTGTCATAGGTCCTTTAAATTTTAACCTTTCATCCTTCCAGCTTTGACGGAAAAATACATCTATTGTATATTCCTAGGTAATTTTGGAAAATGACGAAGAGTTCACTGTGCTGTATTTTGCAATGCAAATATCTAACGCAGACAGTGCATAATTTTTGCAACTTTGGAAGTATAATGTTAGCTAGGTGATGTTTTTAGAAGTAAACGTGTGATAGCATGTACATGTTGATGTCAGGAGAATCACTGGTTGGTGTAATGATTTTTTAAAAAAAATATCTAAAATGCCTGACATATTTTTTGGTCAGAAAAATTTTTCCAATTATCTGCTCAGATATGTAAAAGGAAAGTAACACCCCACCTCCACCCTATCACAGCAGCACTAGAAGAAATAGAATATATCACAATTTTAAAACAAACTCATGTTAGAGGGTATTATGCACAGGAAAAAAATGTTTAAATTAGACAATTCCAGCCATAAAGATAAAGCCTAGTGTTTTGGGGGCCCTCTCATTGTCTCTGAAAACCTCATGCCCACACCCAAGTAAATTGTGATTCCAATATGGATGTAAAAATTCCATCTTTTTTTGGCGAAATAAACATTTTTTTCACAGATAATGTATATAGACTTTCAATTATCCTACACATTAAAGAAGATTGTGAAAACAAAGAAACTGCTTCTACTGGTAATTTGAATCCTTTTCAAAAAGAAAAAGAACAAAAATAAGAATGCAGAGTATGTCGGTGTGTGTGAGTATGTGTTTGTGATTGTACATGTGTATAAGCCACATGAGAAATGTTTGAAGCTCATCATCATTCACAGCCAGGGAATCTATTTATTTGAATAAACACAGCATTCCTTATGGCAATACCCAGAGACAAACATCTGCTAATCTGAAAACAAGCAATGTGACTTACCAGCTCCTAAAATTGAAAAGGGTAATATCCATCTTTCTTGCAGTATTTGCCACACTGGCACTAAATTTGGAGCTCAATGGTTTGAAATAGAGATTACCACATTCTCCGTTAATCTAAGTATACTCCAAACCAGAAAGAGAACTAACTTGAAAACATCATACTACATTTTCCTAATCCTTTAAGCCCTTTTACATCACAAGGCAGTTGTGTTTTTTAAATGTTAAACATATCGTTATTAGGACCTACAAAATAAAATGTATGTGTTTAGGAGTTTCGTGTACGAACTTAACTACATGTCTCCTTCCAAGGGCTTAAGCAATACTGGGTGAAGGCTGAATGAAGGTGTGTTCTCTGGCACATGTTTGGCATTACTGAGCCCTTACTGATCAAGTAACTAACAATTATTATTAAATGTATTATAATGCACCAGATATAGTACTAATTGCTTACTGAGATAGAAACAAGGAGGTGTAATCCGGTGACAGACTGTCTTTGTAGACAAGACAAGTTACCTTGTTTCCTGGTTAGGATTTTGTGTCTGGAAGTGTCAGATGAAAGGCACTGTGATAGATACATAAAGGGAATTTACTCACCAACAAATATCTCTTAAGCACCTAATAAATTCAGCAAAGGAGGGACTGTTTAAGCTTGGGCACTGTAAGAAAAACTCATGAAGGTGTACGATGGGCATAGAATAGTATTTTCCATGGGAAGGGAGACTGTGGATGATATCAGCAAGTGATACAATGTGCCAATGCCTGTCAGGAAAACTGGGTGGATGGATCTACCTCAGGATGTGCAGGTTTTCCTCTCTGGATGACAGACAAGCTTGTGAGGTAGGGATATAATATGTGACGAAATTTTCTGTTACTCAGGTCTTAGCCATATAAGCTCTAGTTTCTGTCCAACTGAATGACTTTAGATTGGTCAACAGCAGAAGGAATGAATGGCCACCTGCAAATCAAAGTTCCAAGGATGCTGAAGGTGACCACGTTCCCATGAATCGAGCCTTTGGTTCATTTTATTTGCTTGCTCCAAAGAGGTTTTATGAAAATAAAATAAATGTTAAGTATAAACTAAACTGAAACTAGATGTATTACCAAATCTTTGACAAGATGTATCCCAAAGGCAATAATTTCAAAAAATTATGTCAAGACTTGCCAACATCCTGATGTTCACATGTTTATTGTGTTTGTCACCAGCTTTATTTGTGCTAATGACAGACAATGGAATCCCCAAATTCATTTAGGACATTCTTCCTTCAAATACTGTACCAGTCACACACACACACACACACACACACACACACACACACACACACACACACAGAGCAACACTCGCTGGTTAATCTTCATTTCCATTTTCTGCACTGTTAGAAGTTGAAATACAAAATGAAATAAAAGCAGTTGATGAAAATTAGTTTCTGCCTAACCAACAGTGTAAATATTTGGTCTCCCATTTCTGAGAACTCTCCCTGTGTGATTGCTGTGGTAGCAGCAGGTAGTTCCCAGAAGCTAGTCCTATAAGATGACCTTGCCCCATGGGCACAGTTCATTAGACCAAGAGTGGGCTTCTGGATGAAGATTAGCCAGAACCCCCTCTTTTTCTGTTTTTTCTTTCTTTTTCTTTCTTTCTTTCTTTCTGTCTGTCTGTCTTTCTTTCTTCCTTTCTTTCTTTCTTTTTTTCTTTTTCCTTTTTTTTTTTTTCTGAAGGAGTTTCACTCTTTGTTGCCCAGGCTGGACTGCAATAACGCGGTCATAGCTCACTGCAACCTCCACCTCCTGAGTCAAGCTATTCTCCTGGCTCAGTCTCAGCCTCCCGAGTAGCTGGGATTTACAGGCATGCGCCACCAGGCCTGGCTAATTTTGTATTTTTAGCAGAGATGGGGTTTCGCCATGTTGGTCAGGCTGGTCTCAAACTCCTGACCTCAGGTGATCCGCCCGCCTCGGCCTCCCAAAGTGCTGGGATTATAGGAGTGATCCACTGTGCCTGGCCAAAGCCCCTTCTTAAGGAAGCTAGAAAAAGAGAGAGGCGAGCAGCAGAACTATAGCATAATGACTATGGATGTAAGTTCTGAACCTACCTGCTGAGTGGCCTTAGGTAATTATTTTACGCTTGCTAAGTCCCCAGTTTCTTAATCTATAAAATGGGATAATTCACCCTGCAATCGTGAGAAGTGAGTTGAGACTTGTGAGAATATCTTTTAAGAGTGCCTAGAACATAGGAAGCTGTTAGTAAAAGTTAGAAATTATTATCTGTCTCCCATTTTATTATTTTATCAACACAAATTTATATTAGGTTTTTATGTAGCTGGTCATGAAAATGTGTTTCTCTTTAGAAGGATTGTAGGAAAGGAAATCTAAGGAAAGTAAGAAGGTGGCCGAAACCAAGTTAACTAAAAACAAAATGCAGAAGAGGGGACTCCGTGGAAGAGAGGTTGGACAAAGGTAAACCTCTCCTAAATAATTTGCTCAAGTTTCCAGGCTCCAGCCCCCACCACTCAAGTGAAAAGTATGAGTTGCTCTGTTCAATAGTGTAGGTCCCTGGAGAATGTGAGTCTTAGTCTGAAGATCTGGGACAAAACATCCGCTATGTTCCTAAATAAATATTGTATTGAAGTGTTCCTGCCTGTGCCATTTATTACCATCTGTGTGTATTTTGACTTAATACATTTTAAGCACTATGGAAAACAAGGCTCTGTGATTGTACTGCCTGGATATTTCTGTCAGAACCTAGTGCCCTGGGAATGTTCTGTTTGATTGCCAATTAATGGTTTTTAAAATAAAGTTAGAGAATTGTCCTAATTTTGTTTGCTATTCCAGATGAAGTCAGATGCCTTGGGAGCTATGGAGTCTCTAGGGCTAAATAACCTGGGTTCAAGTTGCTACACTTAGCTAGCAGGTCACTTTCCTTCTCCAGGAAATGTAGACAAGAATAATACTTAGCTAAAAGGTTTGCACAAGGATTAGATGAAATTTCTAGAAAGCATTTAGCATGGTGCCTAATGTGTTGTAAGCATTCAATAGCATTAAATCTTGTTATGTTATTAACGTAGATTAATTTATTAGTTCTCACTTTAAAAACTACAAAATTTTCCCATTTTGAAAAATAGCTTTGTCTTTCTGCCTTCTAATTTTGATTGCTTCTAAATCATGCTGCTTCTTCTTGTACACAATTCTCCTATAATGTAATTTAAATGATTAATCTTCTAAAGCAAGGTGGTCAGATACAATTTCTACCAGCTACTAGCAAACCAGTGGCAGACCTATGGCTAATCTGATCATTTGACAGAGCAATTGAAACATTGTCTTGTTCAGAGGTTTTAGGCAATAGGGAATATTGTTGGTTGGACACGCTGTTCCTTATTCCTGATATTTGACCAAATGTAAAATATAAAATGTAGATTATAATCACAGGTTTGAAGGTGTATCAAAAAGCCTATTCTAAGATTTAAAAACTCCAACATTGGTTTATGGAATCACAATTAATCTGAAGCAATAACTCAAAGGCATGTCACCTATTTTTTAAGAAAAGAGAAAGGCTTTTGATCGCCTGTGGCTTCATTTGGGCATTGTCCTTTAACAACTCCTATTGGACATTGACTCTGTGAGCACCATGCCAGGTGCCAGAGACTGAGATAGAATGGCCATTAAGCAAATTTTACATTATTATAAGTAGTAAGATGAGTATTGCCATCAGTGTGTGATGTTTTTGAATGTTGCATGCCCTCTCTTGATGTTTTCATCAATGAGAAAAAGGAAATTTCTGTATGCTCCCAATTCCCCAATTCTTCTACTGGGGAAAAAAGAAGGAAGGAAGGGGATTTAATCTGATAGGTTAATTTGGAAAAAAAACATCAATTTTACCTATTTCAGTCCTTTTCTCTTGTCTTTTCCATTTGGCTGCTGGCTGCCTATAAGAGTGAAAAATTCTCCTGTGCTCTTCCATGCTGGAGGTTTTACATGCATAATGTACACCCCAGCAAAGGAAAGTCAACACTGCCTATGACTGGGTGGGTTAATCTGGTTGATTCTGGTGCCTAATCTCTGCAAATCTACTTGTCTACAGATATAAGTCACATTCTGTAATATCATCATTATTAGCAATATATATGACATTTTAATTCCCCATGCCTTCTACCCTATTGTCTTATATCTCAAAGTTTCAGAACACAGATAAGAAAGAGGGCATAACTTATTAGGTCCCACAAGACCTCATTTTTTTTTTAATATTATAGGCTCCTAAACCTATCACCAAGAAAAGAGTAATTTAACATTTACTCTAAAATAACAATGAACTAATACTGTGAAAGATGTGAAACACATGTGCCTTTACAGGTTTGGCAACAATTTAAGAAAATAAGATATTTATTTATAAATAAGAGAAATAAGTTTACAAAGCAGTGCTATATATGTGGCCGAAAGCTAAAAGGTATTTTATAGTCAATACATGTGATTAGAATACAAAAACGGAAAGTCAATTTTTTATTGGACTAATAAAAATGATTTCATAAAGCGTTTGGGTCTTGATTTGGGCCTCTGCGGAAGTATTTGATTTAGATGGGTAAAGAGTAGAAGAAATTTCCATGAGGTCTGCATGGCATGATAAGGAGCTCAGAGGTAAAAATAATAATAGCTATCATTTATTGAGCACTATTGATAGACACTTTATTTGCACATCTCATTTAAAACTTATAAAAATGTTGAAGGAATAGGCAACTATAATAATATATACATTTGAAAGACTTTGAGCCTTAGAAGCTTAAGCAATTTGTTCAAGGTCATGCTGCTGCTGATGGTGAGATTTGGATTCAACCAGCTTGAATCCCAGAGCCAGCCCTGCTAACCCCCACACTGTACTGCCTTGCAGAAAGCAGGACTAAAACAAATAGTTAATATTGGGAACAAGTGACAGAGAGTGGCAAAATCATTTATGGGAATACAGGCAGAACAGTTTTTATTTGACCTTAAACATGACTGGGACCTAATAAGCATTCTTAACTATAAAAGTACCATGAGAGAATAGTGTGGGAAGACTGAGTTCCAACATGAGAGAATCATGAGTCCTCAGAGAGTTGTCAATTTAGTAAAACACATTGTATCACATGTTATTTCAATAAAGTGGTCTACAGACTGACCATAATTACAAAATAAATCGTAAGATGCATACATTCACAAGTATGATTGACTTTCATATTATATTTCTTGCATATTAGTAATGGCTAAAATTTGTTAAGTGGCATTATTAATCCCACCTTATACATGAAGAAACTGATCTGGAGAGATATTAAGTAACTTCCCTAAGGATATACCCTTCTATGTGAAGTAGCTGGCATTATAAACCAGGCAATCTGGTTCAGAAATCTGCATTCTTAGTTACCACTCTGTTACCTCTTATATACTCCACATATTTTTCTTTGTCCAGTTGGCATATTTCAAAACTTGTCTTAAAATCTAAAATATCTGATTATCCTCTTGGCCAGAATTTCCCAACGTTCACTTCACAGAATATTAGTTCTACAGAATATAAACAGGGGTCAAATGACAAAAAAGGTCTTGGGCAAATACAATTGTGAAAACACCAGATAAAATATAGTTTTGTTTGTTTTACCTCAGAACTTGTCAGGGCTTTTACTCTGCCATTCATAGTTTCTGTAAGTTTTATTCTGACCCTCTGTGAGCTATTTTGAAATCAAAATACTTTTACAGTAAGCTGGTGCTAACATGAGGCATTTCAAAAATAGTATTCAATTAATGTATCTTTGAAATATTCATAATGGTATGTTTCCATGACCACTTTATGATGTTTTGCTTATATAGAACCTTGGCTGTTATTAGTTCAGGAATATTATATAATTTCTGTAGAGCTCTATAACTCCCATCAGACAGAAGAGAAATTCATGTTAATTTATTTGAACTAGAAAAAAAGAGCAGGTATAGATTCATTGTATTTCCACTCTGGATAATACTTTAATGAATGCTTTTTGCAATGAAGCAGAATGTTTCCTGGTGGTGTGTTTTAAGTATTTTTGTCTAATTCTGGCCAACTTTTACACTCATTTCCTTTTAGTTTTTAGTAGCCAAAAATAATTTAGAAATCATAATGTTTATGGCCATTCTATAACAGTTCTGGTTGCCTGAAAACAGCATCCTTGAATCAACATGGCCTGCTAACTAAAATGAAACATAACTCATACTGTATGGCTTGTGGGGTATTAACCAAGGCAAACCAATCATTTAAAATATTTTTTAAAAAAAGATGACTGCAGTGGTTGAAAATCATGGAAATAGGTCTGATCTGGAATGCAAATGAGTATTTTTCTATTGTATAAATATTATATTACATATTACATATTACACACAGAAAGACACAAAAGTATAGCCAAGACTTTTCAGGTTGCTCCCTAAGAACTTAGTTTATATTTTTCTTTGAAAAGTTAAATTTTAAAAATTCTTCAAGAAAAGCAAAGATAAAGTGTCCACTTACCATATCATGGTCTGAAACGGGTCCGAAACTGGTGACGAAGATATCAGTCTTCACTTCGGTTACACGCTCTGTTGAAGCAGGAAATTGGGCGAGTGAGTGTCTGTCAACCGTCCTTATTAGATCTCACCACCACATACTGACACCCAAATGGGAAATTGATTGTCTTTGATTAGCTATTTCTAAAATTGGTCCACTGTGTAGTCCTGATAATTTACTGCTTACACATAAAATTTCACAGTTAATATTTTCTATGGAGAATGAAGCCTAAATATGCCACTTTGGGAGGCAGACTTTATGGAAAACTCAGCTGCTGCCTAATGAATTCTTCAAGAGTGGACATACTTGCCTAAATGATACTAAACTGCTTCACATTGTAATGAAAATACATTAACATGTTGGTATAGCTTAAGCTTAAGTATTTTTACATGGCTAGACAGATCCTCCAGGTATTTAGGCTCCTCTTGGGAAATAGATAGTGTACTTTAGCAAGCGTTATTAACTCTGTAAGGACTCAAGAGTATGTTTTATAAATGTTTGCTTTCTTGCACTAAATCATAACTGAGTTATCCAATTATTCCCTGGGGAAAATATGACATCCCATATAAGTCTCTTCAATTTTCAGGATGAGAAGAACATATTATGGCACAGAAAAAGTTCACTTAATATATTCTGTTTCACATTCCATGTGATTTTATTATATTGTTCTCTGATGGCACATACATCAACCAATAAAGCATATTAATTATAGTGCTATAATAACTGAACACAGACATTTCCAGAGAAATACTGCCATTCTCCAAGAAATAGAAAAACAATGCTTTCAGAAAAGGAACAATTTGTTGAGGGGTGAAAACGAAAAATATGACTTTATAATTTTCATCTCTAGCTCTGAAAAATGCAGTGCAGTATCTTTAACAGTTCATTTACTTTTTTATTTTTTATATTTATTTTATTTTATTTTATTTTATTTACTTTTTAAATTATTTTTAATTTATATTTTTCCCCGGGAATAATTTGGATAACTCAGTTATGATTTAATGCAAGAAAACAAACATTTATAAAATGTACTCTTGAGTCCTTAAAGAGTTAATAAGTCTTGCTAAAGTACACTATATATTTCCCAAGAGTATCTTAAACACCTGGAGGATCTTTCTAGCCATGTACAAATATTTATATGCCAGGGTATTTGCATCTCTGGCATATAACATAAAAAAGGTGATTCACCTTTTATAAATTCCTTTGAATTTATAAAATGATCATTTCCTTTAGAAATCAAGAGCTGGCCCTTTTCCCTTAGCAATTTACTTGTGAAGAGTTAAGACTGTCAGTATAAATTTATCCCTAGAAGGTCATGTTATACCCTACACATAATGTGTAAGTCAGCTAAAAAAATAATTTTGAATCAGAGATATTCCCTTCAATAACAATACAATATTTTTGGAGGGATAGCATTGGGAGATATACCTAATGCTAGATGATGAGTTAGTGGGTGCAGCGCACCAGCGTGGCACATGTATACATATGTAACTAACCTGCACAATGCGCACATGTACCCTAAAACTTAAAGTATAATAATAAAAGAAAAAAAAATTAATTTACTTCAAACTGCTTAAATGAGCCCCTTGATGTAGGAATTATCTGCAGTTTACCCTTTTAAAAGCTCAAAATGAGAACATAGCTTATGACAATGAAAATAAACCCCTCCTTATACTTTCCTCTCTAATATATCTCCTTTGCCACATACCCAAGAAATTCTTTCATTTGATTTGTCATCAGCTCTTGGCAAGTGTCCAGTGGCGGGGCAGCAAGGGGGGAAGTTTCTGTGGCTGGAAAACTCTGCTAATTTTCTAACACTGTTGAAAACATTAACATCCTAATGTCTCTGAGAAATCATGTCTTAAATAAATATGGTCAAACTTGTTTACCCATGTTTCCCCAAATTATTTGGGGCTGCTACTCTAAGATATTTCAAAAGCTGTAGGGTACGCTTGAGGCGTATATAACTATATAATACATTATGTTGTTAGAAAAAAAAAAGCTTCAAAATATAAGTTTAAAAAACTCAGAAAGACATGAAAACAAGTAAAATTTCCTTTCCTGGAATGCCACCATCCACATAAATCCACTCATATGGTTTGGATATTTGTCCCCGCCCAAATCTCATGTGCACCTTTAATTCCCAATTTTGGAGCTGGGGCCTGGTGGGAAGTGTTTGGATTTTGGGGGTGGATCCCCATGAATGGCTTGGGCCATCTCCTTGGTGATAATTGAGCTCTCTATCTCTGAGTTCACCTGAGATCTGGTCATTTAAAAGTGTGTGGCTCTCTCTCTCACTTCTGCTTTTGCCATGTGATACATCTGCTCCCCTTTCACCTTCCACCATGATTGGAAATTCCTGAGGCCCTCATCAAAAGCCAAGCAGATGCCAGTGTCATGCTTGTACAGCCTGCAGAATACTGAGCCAATAAATCGTGTTTTCTTTATAAATTACCCGTCTCAGTTATTTCTCTATAGCAATTCAAGAATAGTCTAACACATCCACTTTCTATTCAAATATAAACTTAATCATTTTCCTCAAACCACATCCTCACTTTTACATATACACACTGTATATGTGTATATATATATATACACAAATACTATATATTACATCCCCTAACTCCCAGACAACAGGTATCTGTTTTTCCTGGGAATTTTCTACAATATTGATATCTTGCTGATAAGTTTTGAAATAACATATGTTTTGAAGCGATAATTCAAAAAGATGAGATTAGTACTGGAGGCAAAAATGAGAAAAGCAGAGTAGTAAAATAAGTAGTAAGCACAATAGATTAAGCATCTAAATACTCAGATTTAAACTGATTTTTCTCGAGAACAAGCTATGTGATTTTAGGTGCAATACTTTAATCTCTCTGAGTCTCTATTCTTACATTTTGGATGAAGAAATAATACCTGCTCAAATGACTACATAGCATTGGAGTGATGTTCAAATAACACTGTGGTGCCAAAACACTTTGAGAGGCATCTATTGCGTACATTAATTTAGTAATAAATGTTTATTAAACATTTTCTATGTGCCACTTAGGCACTCTTCTAGGTAACAGTAATACAATGATGAGTAAAACTGTAAATGCTTCTGTTCCTCTGTAGCAAACCACATACTTACTTTAGGAAAAACATATTTTAGGTCGATTAGGGGATGGATAGAGATGTGAGTACCTACAGAGTTATGCAAAAACACATATATACACATTCTGCTAATTAAATTCAGATTATAAATGCTCTGAAAAAATGTCATTTGAAGAGATAAAACTTGAAATGAGACTTTAAAGATGGGAAAAATTTAGTAAGATCCAGGGAAATACATTAAGGAGAGGAAAAAAATTAAAAAAAAGAAGGAGGCAAAGGATCTGAGGTGAAAATAAATGTGTTAAATGTGTTATGTTTAAGAAACAGAAAGTGCAGTATATCTGGATCCTGGTGATGCTGAAGATCATGGCACAAGATGACAATCTAGAGGTAGGTGGGACCATATCTGAAGAGCCCTGTGCATTTCAGCTAGCAGTTGACCTTTATTTTGATGCAGTAGGAAGCCTTTGGGTAATGAAATGAAATGATGTAACTTGCAGTCTAAGAAGATAGCTGATGCTGTGTGAATAGTGAAATGCAAGAGTGACTGTAATAAAAAAAATGGAGGAGGGAATGAATAAGAAAGAATTGTAGGTGGTATTTTGTTAGTAATCCTATCACAACCATTTGTTTAATATGGTATTGGCCATATTTTCCCCGGAAATGCTGTCTGCTGAGGAACTCAGAGTAACAGTTCCATGGGTTCATAACTGATGATGGAGGTCTATTGCCTTATTTAAGCTATTTTGTGTCTATTGATTCACAGAGGTAGGCACCACATGGAGACTAAATGGACTAATATTAGTCATTATAATAAAATGTATCTGAAAACCCTACTTTAAAATGGTCCTGTTTGGAAACTGAAAATATCCTGGGCTCCTACATAAACATCAATGTATACTCCTGGATAAAGCAATGTTCCAGCTCCCTGCTGACCTGATTGATTGGAGCAACATTTTTGTCCCCTGTCCTTCATCTCCATTCAATTAATGCCTCAGAAAAACAGGAAACTATCCCCTAGATGATATGTAGAGCTACTTAGTTTTGGCTGTATTCAGCTACTAAGTCTAGATATGGGGGTAGACACCCAAGTTTCAAGGCGTTTGACCAGTCCCTGATTCTTCAGTGTTTTGGGATTCCAAGAACTCAGATGATACAAGCATGTCCTAGGAAGAAAGGTCGATATTATTGCAGGAGCTATTTATCTTATTTCCACTGATAAATTACCTCCATATGCTGTAATATGAGCAGTTTCTATGGACATAGGGCTAATCTTTAGAAAAAAATGTATATTTTGCTGTTGGAGCAATGGGTTTCTTTTGGTCAGTAGAAGTCTTTTTTAAATTTTTATAATTTTTAATTGTTGTGAGAACATAGTAGGTGTATGCATTTACGGAGTACCTGAGATGTTTGGATACAAGCATGCAGTGAGTAATCAGTATAAGTCTTGATCAAAATTGTACAAACTGTGATAACTCTCAGGCACCCTATTTCACATTCACAGGGTAGCATTTTGTTATACGAGAATAATACTATTAACAATCTTACAGAAATATGCCAATACTTAGGGCCTTGCTTTCTCTTAAGTTTTCCAAAAATGGCATTCTGTGACGTATAGCAAATGAGATTCTCATCTCAGGAACACTACGTTATTTTTCAAGTACAGAATTCTGATTCTGCCAGAAAAAAAAGGAATGATCTATAGACAACATTTTGTTAAAATCCCACATTGGATCTGGAATCAACACAGGAAATTGAAACTATATAAAAAGGTCAAGAGTAGCTGCACAAAAAATGGCTGTTTACTAATACTGTGCACCTTATAACTTGGACATAGTTGCAGTGGTTACTTTTTTGTAAATGTTTCATTTCTAATTTTTTGTGGATACCTAATAGGTGTATATATCTATGTGGTACATGAGATGTTTTGATACAAGCATGCAATGCATCATAATCACATCATAGAAAACAGGATATCCATCACCTCAAGCATTTATTCTTCATGTTAAAAACAATCCAATTATACTCTTTTAGTTATTTTAAAATGTCCAGTTACATTGTTATTGATTATAGTCACCCTGTTGTGCTATTAAATACTAGGTCTTAGTCATTTTTCCTACTTTTTTGTACTTTCTTTTGTACCCATTAACCATCCCCACCTCCCTCCCCCCATTACCCTACCCTGCCTGATAACCATCCTTCTACTCTCTGTCTCCATGGGTTTAATTTCTCTGATTTTTAATTTCCACTAATAAGTGAGAACATGTGACATGGATGCAACTGGAGGTGATTATGCTGAGTGAAATAAGGCAGGCACAGAAAGACAAACATGGCAGTAGTTTCATTTTATCTCAGGAAAATATTGGCACTGATCAGGTAGATAGTTTATATACCACAGAAAAGATGAAAGTAGCAAGTTGTCTAAACACGCTAGAACATTCCTTTGGGTAGCTCAGTTAAATTCATCAGACAATGTGGCTTCATGAGCTGATGGTAGACCTCAGCCAGTAAATGTTAAAAGGTATTCTCTGTTCATTTTAACAATTCTTCTTGGGGTTTTGGTAACTACCTTTTCTCTATAATTTGTTGAATTATGAAATGTCTAGGTACAGTATTTCTGTGGAAATGTATTGCATTTTGCCAAAGTCTGAGCATCTGCTCCATACCTTGCATTAAAAGCCACAGAGAAAACGACAGCAAATTCAAAAGGAAGGATTCCAGAGTAGAATTTCAAAACATAATACTAAAGGCTATTCTCTAGTAAAGTAAACACAGCAAAAACAACAACAAGAGATTGGATAAACCTAACCATCTTTTAATTTTATTTGGAAATCGTCAGTAATGTAGATTATTTTATCTAATGCTATCACTTTGTGACTGAAATTATCTTGTCCTATTTTTTGAAATTTTGTTTTCTTAATATAAATACAAAATAGATATTTTGACATTAGTTGAACATGAACAAAATGTTTCTCTCTGATCTCAATGTTACAAGGGATATTAAAAAATCAAAAGATCACATGAATATCAGGCATTTTATCATCCCGGGACAGCTCAAAGTTGAATTTTAAAAGAATTAAACTGTGCTGCTTTCCCTATCCTCGAGTCACCTAAATTTTACAAAGTTGCACAAAAAATACTTTGATCTTTTTAGAGCACTCTTAGTTTTCCATTTTTTCTTACTTTTACATAAAGAAATGGAACCCAAGACCCAAGCCAATTCCCTAAGAAGCCAACAGCATCTTGCCAACTGCAGGGAATTTCCAACCCAGCTGCCTTGCATTAGGAGTTGGGAATTCTTACATCTTAAAGCTGAGATCTCTTGCAACAATTAGGCTAAAGGTTAGTCTTAAAGGTTTTATATTGGCATAAATAATTCAAGATTAGGAAAAAATATGATGGTAAGGAGAAAGTCTGCTCTGAGGCATAAATGATTTGTAAAATAATATGTTACTGTTAAAATACATTCAGAGACAGCTCCAGTTACTAACGCTCTTCTAATTGACGCTGTCAAAGAAACTCTATAAATGAAAACAAAACAAAACCCCCAAAACCAAAAAAATCCAAATCTACAACATTTACAGGAAAAAGAAAATGTTAACTAAATATCTGTTAAATGTGTAGCAGGGATAAAGGTAGGCCATTCTCTACCTACAATCTTACTTCTCTATCATCTGCCTCTCCACTCTTCTCTCAGGATTTGTCGTTTTAGGAATACACAATCATCTCTGTTTCCTTTGCTGTCTTTATCTATGTGGTTTGAGGACAAAACTTTTGATGGGCATTTATCATCCAAGTTAGTATACACTGATATTAAGTTGAAGACTGATTCAGATATTATAACAATATTTCCAGGAACTACCATTAACAGGGAGAGAGAGGATGAAAAGGTCTTTCTTCGGAAATTCAAAATGTGACTCAAGACCTCATTCCTTCAGCTATAGCATGTTTGTGTTCTAGTTAAAGAAGTATCTGCCCTAATTTGTTTTCCAAGAAGTGAAATGAATGTGTTTATAGAATAATACATCTTTTGTAAGTTAGATATGTGGAAATGAGCATATGTACAGAAGAAGAAAAAACCCTTAGCTTGGTGGCATCACCTCTTAGTGATAAACTGTACATCAGTGTGGCTCACCTGGGATTTTGGCTTATTGTAAATAAAGTGTAGCCTGTATATATGGTGGGGCAAAAGGGAGGAGAAACATATCACTGGAAGAGTATTAAGTATCCATAAAAGCCTGATTATCTTCCTTCAAAATTCAGCTTCAAATCTCTGTTTATGGATTATTTTTGTCCTATGCCCAAAGTGCAGGGGAAGCCAATATGAAAGTGACTGAAATTTCACGCAGATGGGTGCAGTACAGCAGGAGCATTATTTAATTTTTTAGGAAGCTGGAGAACATCCAGGCTTCCTTCATTTATTATAATACGGGCAAAGAGGAGAAAACTTGGGAAAATGAATTTCCTGGGAAAATTTTGGTTTCGTCCTGATTTAAAACTAAAAGAGCCATATAAATTGATCAAGGGACACTTGAGTCTCCCCAGGCTCATGAGATTAATTCCTCTCATTTTTCATTTCCTCTGTTTTGCTCTTCTTCACTTCCTCAATTCCTCTCCCTCCCCTCTGTTCTCTCTTTATTTTCTATCCTCTTTTGCTTTCCTTTTTTTTTTAACTTTTTTCTTTCACATCTTCCCATTTTTTCTGACTTTTATCCTTTTTTCCTTATTTTATTCTTCTACACTGACCATGCTTTAGGTAAGAGTTCTTTCAAATACATTGCTCAGCTTCTAGTTGTAAGAAAGTAGCAGCCCCCCACACCTTGCCACCAAATAAAGTGATTATGGACAAGAATGAATCCAGTAATTACTGATAATTTTTAGTTTTATTTTCTGGATACTGATTATTTTAACTCAAGTCTATTTAAAAGTGTCTTCATTGACATTGCACTTAAATTATGAACATAGCTATCTTATTTTTCTCTTTACAATCCCAAATAGACCATATTAAATTTTTAGAATTCCACGTATTCTAATCCTTTGTAGCTCTCCTACCTTTAAAAATCCCTTCCTGGAGATACCTCTTTATTAGTCATCCTTTTATTTGCAGTTCTGCATGGTTGCTCTTATCCCTGAAAAGGCAGTCTTTTAAAATAGTTTTACAGTATTTGCAAACTGATTCCTATCATCTAGATTAACCAAGTTATATATTTTGTTTTCTAATTATTGAATCCAAGGTACATATAAACTAAGAACAGTGCTATACCTTCTGATGCAGTGTGTGTTTCTAAAAAACAGGTCATGATGGATTTGCAAATACAGGAGTTTCTTGTATTAGTCTCAAGTCTCAGCTTATCACATTTTTCTATTTCCTGAGGACATTCAGAAGCAAAAATCCCCGTTTTTTGCATAATGTTGTTACTTTTATATAAAAAAAGACTTTTGTCATAATAAAGAAGACAGTGGGCACCTTTATGTTGCAAGAGGAAATCATCCTAGCTGTGATCATAAAATTACTAAGGGAAAACTTTTACTCCCTTAGAAGCTAATGATAATCTCACTTATTTCCTTTACATAGTCTTTTCATCTGGAGGCAAATGGCTCCTATAAAAAAAAGTAAAAAGGGAGGGTCTGTTTTGCAATTGGGATCTACTGGGATGCATGTCATACTTAAAGTACCAAAAATTCATGGTAGATGAATAAAATTAAGTACTTCAAATCTGCAAAAATAAAAAAAAAGCCACAATAATGTCAACTTAATAGCAGCCAGCTATCATGGTATTATCACATTTCTCTAAGTCTATGGCTGGTTATGTTTTTCAAGATGTCTTAAAACTGTACTTAGTATTTTAAACTATAGTTCTCTAATGACAGATACCTTCTCAAAATGTACTTTAAAATGTTGATGACTCTGTAGATATAAGTAATAAACATGTGCCATTTTATTCCTTAAGGATTAAAAAAAATTCCAAAAAAAGAATATTTAAAAAAAAGTTTAATCAGTATCAAAGTTTTTTTCATAAATCTCAAATCCATCACATTTAAGTGTACTAAATTCCAATAGGATGTTTAGAATAAAAATAGAGAAAATATTTGAGCTACTTTTTTGTTTGTTTTAATTTCTATCATACCCTCAAAAGGCATTGTTACCAGGAATCAGAAATATCAGAAAAACCATCTTTAGTAAAGATAAAAGCACATCCACTGTTAATTTTCTCAAGTCCTGGAATTATTGTAGCATATTAGGCTCATTTCACTAAAAGGAAGATAGCTTGTCTATACTTGGACAACTACTATTTCTGCTCTTTAAATACATATCTATTTTTGTTATTTTCTGGGATTAACTGGATGATAAAAGTAGATTCTACAAAAATAGCAGTGTGGCAGTATGAATTAATGTAGTTATTCCTGTAAGCAAATCTACCAGTATCACCAGTATTGAAAATTAGCTTTTCAATATACTCTCAGTCTAATCTTTATATCTTCAAGTTCTATGGCTCTCCAGGGTCTAGGAGTGCATATGAGAATTAGTTAAAATAATTTCACCTAAAATTTATTTGATGAATGGGTTAAAGTATACATTTATTAAAGAGTTATTCTATGCAATTAAAAGGAAATGAACAGTCACAGTTTGCTACATGCACTCTGAACAATAATATAACCACATGGCTAATATTTTAACAGTTTGTGTGTAAAACTATTTAATAAATTGAAGATGATGCACAAATCTGTCAAATAATACTCATATTTACATGCCAAAATATTAAATAGAATTTTCTAAACTAGGATGAAGAGAAATTTTTTAAATATGTTGTAAAATTCTGCTGACTTTTTAGGGAATGAGATCATAGGGTAGGGAGGAGATTAGGTAAAGTAATCAGATACATTACAACCAGTATTTTCAAAAGTCTTGCTATGTAAAATTTATATCACTAGCCTGGCTATTTCTTCTTTTCATACATTCCTCATCTAGCTAGTTTTGTAATTTATCGCAAATTTTATAAATTAAAAAAAATTTGAAGCCAATTGAGATGTTTAAATGTACACAAGCAGTGTTTTAACATATCATATACAAAATTAGGCTCCCCATTTTGTGACCACTCTATTTTGACTTAAAGAATTTTTTCTAAAAACTTCAATATAAACTTGGTGAAGTCTAAACCTGGGGAAATTTGTATAGTATGTCCTAAAATGAATGTTTGAAATTGATTAGAAAGGACACCTGGTAAGACCTTTGACATATATTTGGGTTGTGTCTTTGCCAAGGCAGTTTCCCTTAAACCTCTGAGACTCTAATGACATTTGGCAGCTTCAAAATAGACCCATAATACACAACCATGTCATTATACTGTGCAAAATATTTATTTAAAAGTAACTGTAAATCCATGCAACCATTTAGTTGAAAAATCATTGTTTGAATTTGTAAGCTTTTTATTCTTTGCTTATCTGTGCTGTCTAAATGAAGAAGAAGTGGCTGTCTTAATATTGCCATTTAATCACTATTTAAATATTGCTATTAAATAGCTACTACAAATGCTTTAGGAAAGGTTCAGTATCAGCTATAGTTGGGAATCATGGATTCTAACCTTGGTTTTCTGTGTGACTTTGAAAGAAAATTTATTTCCTTGCTTCACTTGTTTTACTCTGAGATCAATATTTTGATTTGGCTTCATTAGTCTTTGTTTAACCAAATAAGATAGTTTGATTATCTTATTCAAGTGTTATTCAAATGTGTGCAATTCCTAGAACTATTTACTCTTATTGTTATATATATATTATGTTATTAAGTGCTGTCTTCTTCCTAAGCAGAAATGTATCAATATAACCGAGTAATTGATATACCAAGTAAAATAAAATTGTATTACAGAAAATTAGGGTATAAGTTCAAATGCACAGTTAAACCACAACACTACCATCTATCTCATTCCCCTATTATCCTAGAGGTGGTGGCAATTTAACACATAATAGTGGATCAATATGAAATATTCCAAAATAAATGTTTGAACCAATAGAATCAAAGATATCCTGTTGGAATTAAATGCAAACATACCAGTACCAGGTGAGATAGCTGCAGTCATTGTGCTGGAAGATAGAATATTATCCCAGTTTTTACCTATATGATAAAATCGTTACACAGAAAGTACTGTGCTTATCATATAAATGTAGCATCTGCTTCGTGTCATTATTAGAAGTTTGTGTCTGCCTTTTACTACGTATGGATATGAAACTACAGAGTAACTTGAATTAACATAGAGTGATCCATTAAAAATAGATTTGTCATTAAATTACATGTCACCATTTTTATTATTTGACCATTTAGAGGTAAATTAAGGCTGTGATAGTAAAGATCTCATATTATTCTCTAAAACAAAAATACAATAATGCAACCTACCTCCCAATCCTGGTCTCAGGCGATTGTCATAACCATCTAGGAGTCTGTCCAAAATCCTGGTGAAGACAGTGGTATTGTCTTTAAGTTCATCTTGTAATGACGGCTGTCCATAGCTGAAAAAAAACATAAAGAGAAGCAATAGCTAAATTATACATTTCTACTAAAACCTCTTTCCAAATAAATCCTTTCTCAGTTTTTCTACTTTGGTTTCTACTGAATCTTAACTTGAAAATTATTTTTTCACAAGGTAAAAAGGAATGTTATTTTTAAACTCTGGGCATTTAATTATATTTTTAATTTTCAGTTTTTAAATGTGAAAGGAAAATTGTAAGAAATGACTTCTGTCTGTTTACTTTTTGAATTCTTATCATGTTTATTACGTTGCAATGCACGTCTTCTCTGAGCAAGCAAGAATGCTAATGCACATAAAAAAAAATAGAGAAAACAAACCTAGGAAAGTTCTTTCCAAATTAAAAAGAGTTACCAAAACAACTGATTTTCTTTTTTATTTAACATGCAGCAAAAGCCTAAGTTTTTACCTACCAACATCCTTTCCTTCATTCACTTCATATAGGTCTGTGTTTTGGTGGGATTTTCTTGATGTTCTTTTAAGAGATTTAGGTAAAACATTTCTTAGGACAATTATATTTTTACATCAGTGTGCAAATTTCCATTCCTCTTAAGATTCATGACCCAATGATTAAAATTTGTCTGCTCAAACATCTAATTAATTTTTATTATTTCTAGTCTCAGATGTAAAAAGAACCTTTAGAAAGATCAAGTTCAATAATCTTAATTTGTGGTTGACTAAGCTGTAGCACAGTTTTAGTGTTTTGTTTAAGAAGGCACACCTATTTGTGAGCAAACCTTGACCTAGAACCTAGCTTTCTTCAAATTCTAGTCTGAAACTTTATTTTCTTCTTCTATATTGGGATAATTATTTATATTTAAACGTTGCTAGTTGGAGATGTAGCCTGTGTCCCTTACCATTATTAGTCTTTGTGTTTCGACCACATAGTGACCTCAGTTCAAAAATTGTGTATTTCCTACATCAATCACATTGCTATCTATGCTCCTTGAATCATATTTTATGTGATGATTAGCATGACAACTCCAAAATCCTTTGAGAGAATTGTTTTCTATCTTAGGATGGATCACATTTACTGATATATTTCAATCATAGTTCTGACCTTGAGTACAAAAGCAAAATGAATATAGGGTGTAAACTAAGAAACTGCCACAAATATATCACTTTTGTATTTTCTACTTAATATACTTTGGGCTTCATTCCTGTGTGTTGATGTTACTGATAAATATAAGAAAAATAGTAACATTTGAAGCCAGAATTCACTTATTTGACAGCAGCAAGATATATGATCAAAAAATCATTTCAAAAACAAACACTGTTTTGCAGGTAATTAATTTCGTATCGGCAAAATGCAATGGCTATTATTCTGATAAAGTTTTAATTTGATAAAGTTACTAAAACTAAAGGCTATCCATAATATTGGATATATGTAATGTGTCTCTTTGAAACAATTTTTCATTCTCCTAATTTCAACATTGATGCCATGCAGATTGAGGGCTTACTCTCTTTTGGCAAAATTAAACATCTTGCTGTTTTTTTAAATCAAATTTTCAACAAGCTAAGTGTCTTCCAGTATGTCTCATTGGCAGAAGACAACAGTAAGGCAAAAATAGTTTTGTGAATGCAATTATTTATAAAAACTCATTGTCACAAAATCAACTGCCATTCCTGCATCTTTCAAGGATGCTGGAAGGTCATCTTGATAAAGATGGAAAATAAATGCTAGAACACCCTAAGTTGTGAGGAGGCCCTGATCGGGAACTCTGAGGAAGAAAGCAATACAATAAGAAGAAATAAAAGATGAAATGGGGTAACATGACTAAATAAACTTAAATTATTAAAACAATTCTTAAAATATAGAGTGTTTATTACCTTTATCTACACCCTCTAAGTTTTTACAGCTTATATAAAATTCAGAAAATGCTTTTCTTCCTGGTTTTGTCTTACAAATGTTTTCACCAATTGTTTGCATTGGAATGCAGATGCCCAAAGAGACCACTGCCTTTTCCCCAAGACCAGTTCTGCTTTCCCAGCTGGAATGGAAATCTTTATTTTACGTGATTTTTTAATGACATTTCATCTTTACTTCTAACTTACTATGTCAAGTTTTAATTGCCAGAAAAAAACCCTACGAATAAGATGCTTATTCATTTTGTATTAAACACTCATCCCAATGTAGTGTTTCCTAAACTGAATATATATTTTGAAGAGAAATGCCAGTTACATTACCTGATTTTGATTCCATATGAACCACTATATAATAAAACACTGTGCACTAACTCCATCTACAGGTCATTGCAATAGTAACACTTCATATAATTTTTCAAAAGCAGTAAAGACATTTAACTTCTCTCATTAAGGATATCTGATAATAATGCCTGTCTGTCAGTGTTTACCATACACAATAGCAAAAAACAACAACAGAAAACTTCTGAATTAAAATAAATCTTCCTAAATTCATATGTCTTTCCAGACTATTCCATCTCCCTATCTTAACTCTTAAGAGTTCCCTTGCCATTACATTTTGAATAAACTCATGTTTTTATTATATGTCTGACCTTCTTATGGGTCACAGGAATAGGCTACACAAGAAATACAAAAGCAGATAAAGAAAAATCTGTAATACTTAGTCATGTAAATAGTTTCTATTATATTAATTTCACATGCTTGATTGGATCATTAGAACATATTTTGACTATGATTAAGCTTTATAAACAATTAGTAATTGTTTTTTTAATAGGGAAATTTGATTTTACCAAAGTTCTTAAATATTTGTCTCATATAGTCCACTTTTATTAGTTATATAGATAACAATTTCAAAACGTGATATGCATATGCATTTAGAGAGACGTGATTTTCAAATAACAGATATTATTTAAAACTTTCCATTTCTATAAACACAAAAGTTACTCTATGATCTTTACAATAGGCTAGAAATTTTCTTGTTGTTAAATCAGGTTACACAGTATGCAACCACTAATTGGGGTAACTTTTTCTATGAATTAGGAAACCGCACGTTTTGTTCAGTTCCAACTGAACAGTGAGAAGTTCAATCTAAGACTTAAATGTTGAATTAATACATGTCTTAACAATGGCTTGTTAATTGTATTCTAACTAACGTGCAAACATAATGATTTGTTTCATACTGCTCCTCTTTATTCTTAGCTGGAAATTATTGCAGTTAAGTTTTCTGAATTCCCTTAGTCATAAATTCATTTGAGGACAATTTTCTTCCCCCGATAAAATAAATGAAAAGTTACAGAAATTTTCATGCAGATTTTTAAAAAAGTGTCCCCACCTTCTTCCAGTCAGTGTGCTCAGAAGGAGGATCCAGGCCCAAAGACAGTCAGACAGACCTGGACTTTTCCTCATCGCGGGCTGGAGCAGCTGAAAAGTAGAATAAGTAGAGATCAATGTCTCTAGCAAGAAACATCAGGTTATAACCACCAGGGCTGACTGAGGCAGTTTAGATGAATGCTTTGAAGTCAGGAAATGACCTCACTGGGATATGACACCTCATTGGAAGCAATGGAAACCTGGACCATCCATTCTCCACTTTCCCTTCCATTTCTCCATTCAGAAATATATCAGTGTCCTTATTCTCCTGTAAAAGAATACAAGCTGAAACGCTTTCAGGTGACAGTATTGCTCAACATAAAAACTGTGAGTTGTTTATCTCTAGGTTTTATATTTAGAATATAGTTTGGTTTATTCTCTTCTTGTTGTTTATCATCTAAATATTTGGACTTTTAAGATTTCAGTTTCCACAGTGAACTGTGCATTAAAATTTTTAAGCTGGTGTCTCTAACAGGAAGAACATATTTAGGGATTGGAGGGGATAGGTTAACATGTTGTGATGGCTGAATTCCTCTTTGAATTCTGCAGGTACCTTGATTTCAGAAGCAACTGTATTTATTTCTATTTAAAAACATAGGAAACACACTGTTGAATGCCGGAGTCGTGCTTTTATTCTGTTCCTGTGACTGCTTTGTTAAACATGCTTCCTAATGTTTCTGTGAAGCTAAAGGACACACTTTATAGTCAAGCCATGTGCTGATCTCTCTCACATACAAACCACACACACACACACACACACACACAAATGCACACAAACATGCCCACACATATCTTTCAAGCCCTCTCAAATTCTGCCAGGTTGCTGCTAGAAAATGTTTCATCTCAAACAGATGGAAGCTGGAGTGCTTTGCTTTGCATGAATAAAGGGATCTTTTTACCTCTTAGGTAAAGTGCAATCAATCACCATCTGATTGTTGAATTTAGACTTGGTAGTGGAATGTTGGAGAACTGGAAGAGTACAGAAAGCTTAGAGAATTAAAAATGTATATAGTCTATGTGTGGAGTCAGTTTTCGAAATTCAATGCACTACCTGGATAAGGAGCAGCTATGGTAACATTTTAATGTGCTGTAATTAATTCCAGTCATAATATAAGGAATGTTCAAAGTATTTAATCTATATTTCTTTGTAGGGTAAGTGATTAATAGACTGCAATCTTTTAAAGCTTCTTTTTCATTAAACCCTCTATAGTTTAATGTGGTATGCCTTTAAATACATCTACAAAATGCTTTCTGCAGTCTCGGGAAATCATTTAAATCACTAAAAACCATTACAAACAGGCTTGTAAGCAATGAAACATAATATGTTTAGAGCGAAATGGTCTAGAGATAAGAACTCTGAGCCTCGTCATAGCTTTTCCTTAATTTAGTAATTTAGTGACTGGTTTTGAAACAGATTAGTTGACTATGACAAGAAATCTTGGATAAATATTATGTTAAAATGCTACATCTAAATTGCAAAATTTTAATTTACCCTTTTACTAATCTTCATCGTTTGTTACAAGGGAAAAACAACTTTTCTTAGCCCTATTAATTTTTGTTGATCTTTTTAAAAAGATTGAATATCTGAATGGGTAAACAAAACACAGCAAAACCATTTGACAAGGCACCATAGATTTTTGCCCTCTTCTGACATTTTTAAAAGAGAAAAACAAACCTATCATGGCACTTCAGTTGTTAAGAAAGTTTCTTGCAAATACAAACATAATAGTTTAAAAGAAAGGCTAAGCTGCAGTCTTACCACTTTCTACCTTCAACCTCCCCCTCCCCCAGACACACGCTCCAAACGTTACCATCCCATGCCATCCATATCAAAGACTAAGTTGAGTTTTCGTGTTCAGAATGGGAGAGACCCCTACACAAGAGGGCATTTCACCAGCGTCCACTGGAAAGGGAAAAACAGGCAATTTTGCAGCCAGGACAAGAGCGTGCCTTCCCTAGGATGATGGAACAGTGAGACAGGTTTTCCGTCCCAGCGTCTTAACTTTAGATGATGGCCCCCGACGCCCCTCCCCAACTCACCCCAGCTCCCCCTTGCAAATAAATAAATAAATAAAAGACCAAAACAACATGCCACCACCCACCCTGCGGAATACATTCAAATATGCCTAAGAAAGAGGAGAAGAAAAGAAGAAAGACAGCGGGAAAAAAATAATAATAATGCTCTTATATTGCTGCGGTTTCACCCTGAAAGAAAAACATTTCGTTGTTTCTACCTGCTGTGGGATCAGGCTCCTGTCCTGCTCGCTCCCTTGCTCGCTCGCTCGCTCTCCTTCTTCTCTCTCTCTCTCTCTCCCCCCGTCTCCCCCCGCCCCCCCCCCCCGACTATAACATTCCTGTCTCTCCAGCTAGGAAAAGCCACGTTCAAAGCTCTGTCTGTGTATCGTGGTCCAAAGTCGCACTTACCTAAGGCCCCCTCTGGACACAGGATCTCTTAAGACCGGGGAAAAGTCTGGGAGAGAGAATCGTGGAGAGACTGGAGCCAGCGCGAGTCTGCGAGTCCGAGTCCGGGCGCGCCAGAGCAGAGGGGCGTCCTCGCTCTGCCTCTCACTCACTTGGTCTGAGCCATCATGGACTCTGCGTGCTCCTTTGCTGAAGATTTCACACCCAAATTTGCTTCCCAATATCCAATCTGCAGCTATACAACAAAAGATTTCTCTTTACCAAGACAGTAGTAATACGTCCCAGGGCAAACCGGATGTGAAATAGGCGGTGACTTCATGCCAGAGAGATTTTATTTTAGAAAGGAAGGTGGTACCAGCCTCTGGATCTGGAGACCAATCCGCCCATTTTTTATATGCAGCACAATTTAACTTGCACCACTCTGGCCCTAATCCCCTTCTCTCTAGCTGCAGGCTCAAATCCTTCTACAATCTGCTGCAAGCTTCTCTTTTTGGGGGGAGCGGCAATGGGGGAGGGAAGGGTAGAAAGGGTGAGAGACATACGGACTGCACTTAGAGTCTTTTCACACTTGCAATTTATGAACACCCGATTTTAAGGTGAGCCCATTAAAAATACAACTATTTAGTGCAACTATTCTACCTTTGATCAAATATTAAACCACTGCCTGCATATGAATGAACGCAAGCTCTGAAACTGGGAGATGCAGGGTTACACGTGTGGGGAGAGCACTCGTCTCGCCTCTCTCCCTCACACACACACTCCCACACATATGTCTAAGTCCCCGTGTCTTGCAGAGTCACGAATGGTGACGGATGGTAGGAAAGAGTTCTGGCAGGTAGGAAATTGGCTACTGGATTTAGAGAGTCTTTCGCACTTTCTCAGGTTGGGAGCGCTTTCCACCCCACCTTCTTCTGTAGCTTAGAGGACAGCAAGAATACCCTCCGGAACCGGGTTTTTACCTTTGGAGGCAACTGTTTGTCTATGTTATCATGGAGAAAACGCAGGCGCTGTTACCTCTGAATTGTGCTGGGTTCCTGGACGAAGAATATTTAACTAATAAATCACTCCGATCATTTCTAGGTTTGAGAATCATATCTCCATTTCCGGAATCATTCCTTTGCCTCGAGCTCCATCATTCTCGGATTAGGAAAATGGGAGAGGGAGAGGAGGAATTTTTAGAAGTCAGGACGAAATCCGCATCTACTTTTCCCCCCCCTTCTCCGGCATCTTCTGTTACCCTCCCTGGTAGCTCTCCACCCACAAATAATTATACACTAGGAAAGGGGGGTGTGTTTCAACATCAGTCTAACTAAATTTCCAAGGAATCAGGGATGACTTGGTTTCCTCCTCGGATTTTGTGAATGGCTGTTTGTAGCAGAGAGGGGATGGGTGCTGTCTTCCTGGGAGCGCTTACTAAGACCTAAAACACTGGGAGCTGTCCCTTCAGCACTTCCGTCCTGTTATGGCAGGAGGTGCTGAAAAGGTGAGGTGCCCCATACAATGTTTCTGGTGGATAAGGTCTGAGCTTTGGTAAGCTCACTGGTCATTTTCTCCTAGTGAGTTCCTAGCAGAGAAGACGTTTCAGATGGGGCGGAGCCTGAGCAAGTGAAGAAAAAAATCTGAGTAGCCAGTCCATAACCACTTTGGGGTTTCTGATTCTACAAGTGCTTCTTGACCTTGTGCAGCAATGCAATCAGCTTAATGATTAAAACTTAAATAAGGTGATTGCAATAATAAGGAATATAAAACTGAAGACCACATTAGGGGTTGGGCTTGGTTACCTTCTGAGTTTTGTGGTCAAGTGTCAACTGGGAAGTGATTTTAGAGATAAACTTTTGGAAGAGAGATTTGAAGATTATGTTAAGATAGCCCTGTTTCTGGGCAGTAGTTAATTGCCTGTTATGTTCAGATATAATAAATGCCAATGTATTCTTAAAGATATTCGCTGAAGAAACATCACAGCTTCCCTATGTGTCATTACCCAATTTTTATTTACTTATCCATTGATTAATTAATTTATTGAGTGGTTTGGAGAATAAAACTGAATTTAATGAGATTTATAATTAATAATGAAATCCTGAGTTAACGATTAGAAAACATTATTCTTTTACTTCATCTACAATGCAATTCCACAGTTTTGTCTTGTTTTAATGAAAGTCAACAGTTATAAAAATCTGAATTTTTAGTGTTCTCCTGGCTAAACTGTTGCAGGTCCTTTTATGATCTTCTACAAATTGAAAATAAATTTATATCCTTTATCTAATGAAACACAACTAAATCACTCTACTGATTTTGGTTTTGCAAACAAATTCACTGAAGCTTCATCATGTGAACAATAGTCTCAGAGCAATGCCAATTACATTCTGCTTCAGATTAAAAAATGTTATGTGACTATGAAACAGGATACAATTGCACAGCGTTTTCAAACATTTAAAGAAATAAATATTAAATAATTTGGGGGCTATAGTGTGTATATGGAAATGGAAATACCTATACTATGATTCTCTCTTTAAAATGTAATACTCACAAGGTAGATTTTACTAGATGATTCTCTATGAATATCAGCTTGTAATATGTATATGCATGTATGTATACATACACACATACATGTAATTTGCTTTAAGACATCTATATTTTTCATAAATTGTGAGTGTTTAAAAATAATGATATTTTAATACTCCAAAACATCAATTGATACTCTAATTATGGGTGTGTTTATTGTGTTCCATCTGATATGTCATTAATATATGCACATACTACCATAAAATATAATAAATTAATGACAAGAAAATACTTTATATTGTGTTTTTATATTCAATATTTTATATAATTTTTGATATTCTTGTGTTTTGTTTTAGCCAGAATGAACCACTTCAAACTATGTGTGCATATAATGATGTCAGTTTTTTTAAATGATAATAACTATGGTGTTTAATATTCTTAGAGTGTTTACTTGGTGCCAAGTAATGTGAAAAGTAATTTTCATAATAATTCAATTTGATTCTCAAAATGAGTCTCTATGAGAGATGGTCTTAATATTTCTGTTATACAAATCATTCAGTAAATTGTAGACTAGAGAGATCAAAAGACTTGCCTAAGGTCACACAGCTAGTGAATATCCACACTAAAATGCAAATCCAAATGCTCTGACTTCAAAGCCTATTCTCTTAACCACACTCCTACATTACTCTCTTTCCTTACTGTGAGACTGTGAGCTCATAGTAAAATCTTTTTCATTCATTTTATATCCATGCTTGACCACCTTTATGTCAGTCACATAAAGCTCATCTCTGAGTATTTATTATTATTTATTCATGGCAAGAGTTTTATTTTGATGATCCAGTACATCCAACTGCAACATAGAATCAGGCTTACTTTAGCGTTTCAGAGATTTAAGCTACTTTTCTTTTGTCTCATGAGGCCGGTGGCCAAGGCCCTCTGAGCAGTTACAAAGTCTTGGCAGAAAGAATTTGAGGTCAAATCTAGAACCAGGGATCCTAGGGATGCCTAATCACTCTATCTCCAGTGCTGCAGTCTGGTACCTTTCGCTTTTACTGTCAATTTTAAATGGCAGGAAGCCCTTACCTAATTGATGAAGTGGTGCTGATTCTATTCAACAGAGAAACGTTTTTACTTTCTTTAACTAAACGTGAACCAAATGAGAAAAAAATAGCAAGAGTGTTCTCATTTATTCAGTGTGTCTTTTTATAGTTTACAAAATAATGTAGGGTGAAGGAAAAGAAATAAGTAAAAATAATAAAATATCAAATAAACTTTCGTTGAAACTCAGAAAAAATTGATCCTTTAAAGTGTATTTGAATGGCTCAGATATCTACAATGAAATTGTGTTTTAGCATTATGCATTATATATATGAATATTTATATGGAATATTTCATTACACTCATTTAAGTAGTCCCACTTTTCTAATCCCTCTGTATATAATACAGACCACCATGTTTAATTGACTATACTAGCATATCCAGAGGGATGTCTCTTCTTTTATAAGTGATATTGAAATAATAGCTCAGTAGGAGTAAAAGAAAATAAAAGTGGTTTAAGTAATAGGTTACATTTTTGTACCTTAATCTAGACATCTTTGTCATCTGGGTTATTTAGGCAAATTATATTTCCCAGGCTGGAAGTCTCGTTTGGTATTTCAGCATACAGAGAAACATGGTAAATATAGCAAAAACAAAATTTATGTATATTTGAGTCATAAGTGTTTGGCACTCTAGTGGAATTTAGAGATTGTTTGCCCCAACCACTTTGACAGGTCACAAAGCTTACGTAAGTTTTCACATGATCTTTACAGAAGTAGAACCCAGGTTAGCATGGCACAATAAATGATTATGCACGAATATATACTTGAAGTCACAGATGTTTCAAAACTGTAAGGCCGTGGGCAGATTGCTGAACTTTTCTGAAGTTTTCAAATGAAGTAATGATATTTTATAAGCTGGTGGTGGCATTACATAGGAAAACAAGTGTGAATCAGATAGCCCTCTTGTGTGACACCTAATAGACATCTAATGAATGCCAATTTTCCTCTCTCTTTTTTCTTGCCATAAAATTATTCTTTTCTCTGCATTTTAGTGCATTATCTACAGCGTGTTTAAATAACTAATAATACTGATAGTACTGTCAACATTTTGCATACTGTCGAAATAAAATTTTCACTTAGACAGGTAGTGGGAAAAGCTAGCTCCTGTGCCATCTTAATCCTAGGCCCATGTTTTTATTTTTAAGATGTTGAGTCGGGGAAATTTTCCTACATGGGCCTTGGGCATAGAGTATTTTACATACACGTTAAACCAGTAACATTTGAAGAGAATATAATACAGGATATAGCCAACCACAGCAAATGTTCGAACCACAGCTAGTACAGTCAACCACAGGCTTCCCAAAAGATACATTTACATTATTTTTCCATAAGATGCAACAAATACTCATCAGGAATAAAAATATGTATGTGAGAATCAGAGTCTATTTAACAGTAATGTAAATAGGGCACTATCCAATTTTCCTCTTTTGGCAGTTTTCAGTTTATCAGCAACTCAAATGTAACCCAGATTCACCCATTTTCTTTCAAAGACTTTTCTTTTCACAGATGTCTAACCCATCAACCCAAGAAGGTAAATGCAGATTTATTCAGAGTTAGGAAAAATGATAATAAGCTGATGATTAGAAACAATTATTTATTTTAAAAGTTCAAATAATATATAAATTATTTTTGAAATCCTTGAAGAAGAATTTTTTGACTCTCCAAATAAAATTGGTAACACGATGACTAATGTAAGTCAGAAGGGAGGTAAGAAAATAAATATAATTTATTAAAATGCTGTCACAACTCTCTAGATTAAATACTTTAAAATGCTGTATCCTATATAACTTGATTGAGGAAACATGCAATTAAAAAAAATTTATAGCTAAAATCAGGCATTCAGGATGTTTATGTGTCTCCTTTGGTAAAATTAAAGTGCATAAATATATGCACACACATAGTCTATGTGTAAACTCCTTTTAAACCATAAGAATGTATGTTTACTTATGTTTTTCATTGTTAAAGTTAACAGAATGAATACATATCCAATCAGTAACAACGACTAAGTGTCTATCTTGCAGAAAGAAACATAGATCTAAGTGAGAGAGTCAACTTACAGAGATTATATATCAAAAATAATGAAAACCATTAGGCATATTTGTAGCAAGAAACTGCATTCAGCTTATTCATAACCTGCTGGCATGTTAGGATATGTCTAGTTTAAATATTTGAAGAGTTTAACGTGGTATCATTATCCTGCTGGACAGCTGCATTTACATATTTGTTTACAAAAAAATGACATCAACATTAAAGCAGCATTTAAAAAATCATTCATCATGCCCTGAATGGCCATAGGATTTGTGGAAAGGATATGAAATGGAAGGATTTACTAGAATAAAGATCAAGAATTAGGACACTAATAAACCATCTGTTCAATAGCTCCCAATTCTTGATGTTTATAATAATTGTGTTGTGTGGAATGAAATGAAAACAAATTTATGGATATAGATGCACTTTTATTACGGCTGTACATAAATATCTCCAGACATAACTAGTGCCCTTGTGTTAAATGTAGAAAATGGATGTAATTATATTTTTACTATAATTTACAACTACACAAAAGCATCTCTCTTAACCAAACTCATTTCCAATTTTGCTTAGAATAACATTCACCAAGATTTCTCTGCAGAGAAAATTTCATAGCCTCTCCCTTCTCTCTCTCTATGTCTACATATAGAGAGATATAGATATGTAAATATAGATATAGATATCTATTTGTCTATAGCTATATAAACACTCTACTAGTTATCAATATCCATATCTCTATATCAATATTGATATCTATACTTCTAAATTGATACTGATATCTTTACCTGTCTCCTATCTCTCTCTCTCTTTTTTGACCTAAATAAACTTTGACAGAGAGAGAGAGACAGAGAGACAGAGAGACAGAGAGAGAGAGAGAGTGTCCGCTTGGGTAGGGAGAGATCGAGAGTTTTAAAAATGAGTAATATTCAAGTTTGAGTAATTATATATCAATGATAAGCTCATACAAATCTCAGAAATGTGGACTGACCCCTATGAAAACTTGGGATTTGGCCCAGAAAGCATGCTCTGGATGAATAAATAGATGTTCAAAACCAGCCTGGCCAACATGGTGAAAACCCGTCTCTACTAAAAATACAAAAATTAGCTAGGTGTGGTGGCACATGCTGGTAATCCCAGGTACTCAGGAGTCTGAAGAAGGAGAATCACTTGAACCTGGGAGCTGGAGGTTGCAGTGAGCCGAGATTGCGTCACTTCACTCCAGCCTGTGTGACAGAGCAAGAAATATTGTCTCAAAAAAAAAAAAAAAAAAAAAAAAGAAAAGAAAAAATAGATAAATAAATAAATAAGAATTGAGTGGGTTTTTCTGCTTGTGATTAACCACATTCAATATTGGAATTTCAACATAAAGTTGGCCACCTTTAAATTTTATTTAAGGGAAAAGAAAAAATAACTCCCAAATAACAGTCCCTTCCTCATAAAAAAAAGTTATTATTTAGTAGCTATAATATACCTGACACTCTACTAGTTTTGTTGTTGTTGTCGTTGCTTATATCTCACATAATATTCGTAATTGCATTCTTATAAAGGTGCTGTTTACAGATAGGGAACCTGAGTTCAGTAAGATTAGTAGACTTTCCTAAAGACACATGGCTTATAAGTCAGAATCTGGATTTGAATGTAGAAATAGATTTTGTGGCTTCCAAAAGTTCCTGATTATAAGGCAGTGAAGGTAAATCCCTCCACATAGCCTGGGAGTATAACTGTAATGAGAGACTGTTGATACTGTTTCTGATCACAAATATCTGCAGCAATGAAATGTAGTTATTATGAATTATTAAAAATTAAATATTCAGGCCAGGTACGGTGGCTCACACCTGTAATCCCAGCACTTTGGCTGGCTTAGGTGGGTGGATCACTTGAGGTCAGGAGTTCAAGACCAGCCTGGCCAACATGGCGAAAATCCACCTCTACTAAAAATATAAAAATTAGCCAAGCATGGTGGTACATGCCTGTAATCTCAGCTACTCAGAAGGCCGAGCCAGGAGAATTACTTGAACCTGGGAGGCGGAGGTTGTAGTGAGCCAAGATCCCGCCATTGCACTCCATCCTGGGCCACAAAAGGGAAACTTCATCTCAAAAAAAAAGAAAAAATATATATATTTTTTTAGGAAAGCTGCCTAATGTAGTATTAAAAAAAGAAATTTGGAAGCAAAACTGTCCTTTTTTTCTAGGTAGATTATTTACGGATGTTAAGTTGGGCCACTTCTTTGAACTTTAGTATCTTTATTTGTAATAGAGATTTAATACTTTCATTTTACATGGAATATTTGTGAAATAATACTGGTAAAGTAGTTAGCAAATTAAAATATTCTCAACAATTGATATGTATGGTTATTGTTAACACAAGCATTACAGTGTAACAGTCTATGATAACAAGTAAGTTTTTCTAGTATAATTCTTAGCTTTTTGAATAATAAAATTAAGATTTTTGCCTATGGCAACCAATTCATTTGAGGCTTTGCAGTTGAACCACCACACTCAAACTCAGCCAAAATTTATCAAATACCAGACTAACCATTTGGGTTTTTTTCATCATATGGTTGAGGCCTGAAGCAAGGAAGAATTGGCATTTGCAAGGAAAGTGAATTCATTATTTTAGAGAAACTCAACTCAGCAGGCGGTAGGACCAAAGACAAAATGCTTAAGGCCCAAGCTATTGTTAAACTCAACCTTAGCATCACAACAGTAAGAAAAATATTCTTTCTCCATCCAACTTCTGCTAAAGTATTTTTACTAACAAGACAATAAGGTTTAGAGAAAGGAAGAAAGGAAGAAAGAGAGAAAGAAAGTCAGAAAGAAAGGAAAGACAGAAAGAAAGGAAAGACAAAAGAAAGGAAGAAAGAAAGAAAGAAAGAAAGAAAGAAAGAAAGAAAGAAAGAGAAAGAAAGAAATGAAGGAAGGGAGGAAGGGAAGGAAAGAAGGAAGGAAGGAAGGAAAGAAAGAAAGAAAGAAAGAAAGAAAGAAAGAAAGAAAGAAAGAAAGAAAGAAAGAAAGAGAAAGAAAGAAAGAAAGAAAGAAAGGAAAAAAGGAAGGAAGGGAGGAAGGAAGGGAGGAAGGGAAGGAAAGAAGTAAGGAAGGAAGGAAAGAAAGAAAGGAAGGAAGGAAGGAAAGAGAGAGAAAGAAAGAGAGTGAGAAGGAAAGAAACAAGGAAAGAAAGAAAGCAGGCAGGCACGAAGGAAGGAAAGAAGGAAGGAACGAAGGAAGGAAAGAAAGAAAGAAAGAAGAAAGAAAGAAGGGAGGGAGGGAGGGAGGAAGGGAAGGTTTTAAAATTCAAATCAAATAAAATGGAATGCAAAACAAATTGAATGAAAAACAATGAATAAGAAATTAAAGGAAACTAACCTATGCTTGCCATGTTTTACATGTTTATTAACAACTGGAGTAGGTATTGCTGAAGCAAAAAACCATTTACAAAACATCAGAAAGGAATACCGAAAAAGAAGCCATGTAGTTTGGATTCAGCAAATTCTGAAATGAAAACCAACTTTTACTAGACAAAGAAAGAATCAGGGATTGCTATCATAGAGGCTCATTTTTATACCATATTTTTGTTTTATTTATTTTTTAGAATATTCTAGCAAGCAAATTCACTCTATTATGAATCAAGTGAATCATATCAATGTTCTTAAATTCAAATTAAACACAAAAATCAACTATGATTGTATTGAAAACAAAACAAAACATTTTGTTTTGTTTTATAATTTCTATATAAACCAATTTGGGTTAAAAGTTTGTACTTTTTCTAAACTATCAAAGTGAAATAAAGTCAAAACTTGGAAACAGTGACTGAGAATTAGGAACTGGAATGATGTTCTGTTCTTATCCTTCATTATTAGCTCTGTGAACTACGCTAAAATATTATAGTTACTCTTTGTATGACCTTGGGAGACTAGATACCTCTAGGAAACCTAGCTATTTCACAGATTGAACAGTCCTAAGTCAGTCTGACAGCCATATGTTTAAATTATGATTTCATTGCCTGGAGAAAATTTTGTCAGGCTCCCAAACAAGTCAGCGAATTCAGTAGAATTGCCCTGTGGCTTTGGAGGAACATGGTTGGGGAAGGTTAGTCAAGGTTCAGAAAGCTTTTGTCAAAGTCTTAAAGAGGGCTCAAATACAAGCCCTGTTTTCAGATAGAAGGGAATCTGCTTCCCATATATATGCTCATGGAAGGCCCCATTAATTCCAAAAACAAACAAACAAACATTACAAGATGGGGCTATTTCTTATGTTTCCTAAAATCAATGTGTAATTTACTCTGAAAAGTATATAAAAACAAAAGAAAATTAAAAAAAAACAAAAAACAAAAGATGAACTAATATCTCCCTTGATAAGAGCTTGTGAAGTACCAGGAAAATGTAGAGGGAAAAAGAAGAACATTTTAGTACAAGATTTTTATAAACTTTGCAGTAACTCCTCTACAACAGCAATGCATGAGTACAGGTAGAGAATGTGGTTGTAAAATTTGAAATTGTAGTCACAAATTCTGTTCTCATTCTTTCCTTTTGAAAGATAATTTTCACTCTAAGGTTGCTCTTCTATTAAAGTATATTAATGCAGACATAAAAAATAAATATAGTTCTCAAAGTTCAGCATGTCAGATGTCAAGGAAAACTAAAATTTTACATAACAGTTTAATAAACATGACTCCTAGAAAATATAAGTAGTTATTTCTTTATCACATTTTTATTTGAAGAAGCTTCAGTAACTGTCGTTTGTACTCATCATTGTTTTTATCTGGTTTCCAAATCTAAATCCAAATTTGAGATTTCCTCATTTAGCGGCACACTATATTAAAAGGACATGCCTGTTCAGGCAAACTTTCTCCTGCCCATTTGAGGAATTCATACCTACACATGTGTACACTAACTTGCAGTTTCCAAAACTTATTGTATACATAATCTTTAAAAATACACTGAATAAACCAATCAGTTTATTTTTAGAACTAGTTAAATCAATCCAGAAGTTCTCTGAAGGAGTTAATGTGAGCAAAACCATCAAATCAAGGCTTAGAGATTTTACCAGATATAAAAATATACATGAAGCTATAGTAAATAAAACTCAATAATTCTGGCACAGAAAGACTTGCACAGCTATAATCACAATGAAGAATCCAGGAAAGGACCCATGGATAATCAAGAAATTGTATATGGAAAGGAAGCTTTCCAAAGCAGTGTAATTTATTATTTAATACATGGAAAAGGATTACAGACATTATAATAAAATAAAACAAAAACACAAGTAAACAAAAACATTAAAATTAAATTCACACCCCCAAATAGAAATAAAAATGATTTACTGGTGAAAGAAGGAACCTACAAATATCCTATGCATTAATGAATTCAATTAAAAAAAATCAGACAATGCACATAAAAATGAGAACACAGGACAAAACCATAGGTCAACAAGGAAATTTCACCAGTGGCCAATAAACATGAGAGAAGATATTCAGCAGCAATTGTGATCATAGAAACACAAACTAAAACAGTCACAGTTATCAGACTAATGAAAACTTTTTAAAAAAGTGATGCTATTCAGTATTTATTTGAGTTGTTGGTTGTAAAAATGGCAATCTGTTAGTGGCTATCAAATTATCAGTATACTGTATACAAATTTTAAATCAGTATCCTAGTTCTAGAAATCCATTCTACAGATATTTGAATGCAAGTGTGGCAGGGTATAAGCATATGGAAGTTTAATGTAGGATTAATGCAAATGCTTTTAAAATCAGAGCCATATTAAATGTCTGAGAATAGGAAAATAGTTTAATAAATTTTGGTATGTTCCCATCATGAAATTAAATGAGCATTTAAAAAATGAGGTATATATTTATCCATTGATGCAAAAAGACATTTTCACGGTTAGCTGATTCAATGAGCGAAGATCTAAATAGTATTATTCGTATTTTACAAAATATATATAATATACAAGATAAAGTATAGGTCTAAAATGAATATGCAATGATATGCATTTCATATACGTAAAACTATTAACATGAATTATCTCTTTTTATTTTATCCGTTACATTAGGTATGATTTTTTGTGAGTATATATATATATATATATATATCTTTTGTAAAAATTTTTCAGGAAATAATAACAAAAGAAAAAGAAAATAATGACATTTAGATTCCTAGATATAGAAGACATAAATCAATGCCACCCAGAGTTCGCTTAAAATCCCAAAGTCTGAACTCTAGGTTTACAAAGACAGGTTTGTTATAATTATCACCGAAGAAGAGTTGGGTTCTCAAAATTGTTGCGATTTCATTCACTTCTAGAAGTTGAGAAGTAAGTGGAAGCATAGTGCTAGAAGCTCATACTCACTTTCTTTGTCTTCCTAATTATATAGCCATCCAAGAGTAACACTTCTCTTCGGTAATAAGATAGTTCAGAATCTTAAACATTTTTCCAAATAACATGCTTAGAGGTCTACTGTAAATTCAACAACAAATGATTGGAAATTGAAACTGTCAGTCAACTAAAGAGATATGTTTGAGTAAGAAAAACTGTCTAATGCACATTATAAATACCAAATCACTTTTGCAATGTTACCTACATGTATACTTACATCTTCCTCCTCCTCCTCCTTCCTCCTCCTCCCCTTCTTCTTCTTCTTCTTCTTCTTCTTCTTCTTCTTCTTCTTCTTCTTCTTCTTCTTCTTCTTCTTCTTCCTTCTTCTTTGTCTTCATCTCTGTCTTTGTCTTCATCTTCTGCTGCTTCTGCTCCTGTTGTTGTTGTTGTTTCAGGGAGAAATCGTTTTGTGTTTCTACATACCCTAGGGAACATATGTTTGAGCATGTTAGTAGCATATTTATGGAAACCAGAGTACTCTGTTTACTTTGCTGTCTCTACACTTTGGAACTCTTCACTAGTTTTGTAATTCTCATAGCCTCATTGTTAAATGAACCCCTCTTATCCCCTGTGTTGAAGGATGTTTACATTTGGCTCTATACTTTTGCACAACAGTTATGTAAGTAATCAGCTCCAAAATTCCATCAAGGATGCTCTTTCTCTCATGTGCAAATATTTTGTCCCACATAGCCTCAGCAAGGAGAGTAACTTTTAAACTGGAGAATAAATTTAAATGTCTCAAGTTCCTTTGTTTTCACCCCTACATAATGTACCACATCCATTCAGTGTTTCTGGAGACATAAATGGTTAACTTCATGGTCAAGAAAAAAGTATCTCTTCTTTATATCATTCTAAAAGAAATACAACACTTTTTCCATATATGAATATACATTTTGGACATCCATTGATATATTCTATGAGTTGAGAGCATAGGTTTCTGTCTAATGAACAAAAAATCAGGTTAAGTCATCAATAATATTTTTTCAAGATTTTGTTGAAATGCTTCTAAGTTTAGAACTTTGATCATTACATTTTACTATTGAGTCCCGGTGGATAAAGTTAGCATATCTTGTTTCTCACTCCCCTTAAATATATTTGCCTTTCAGAAGAGTAGGTAGTGAAGATTAACTTGATTGTCCTGTAGTATGGTACAGTAAAGTGGGCAATTTTTCTACATCTCTTGAGATCAAATGAGGGTAGAGGGTGGAGATAGGTGCTAAATTTCCAGGCTTGGGTGGGCAGAAAGATGGCAGAGAGATTTTCATTCAACACAAACACAATGAAAGAAACATCTGGGTGGAGTTATAACAGGCCAGTTTCAGGCAAACGTGGCTCAACTAAGTACTGAGCTGAGACAAGTTACTTAACCATCTAATATCTGATTTTTCACCTGAAGATCAGATATAATAGCCATCTCAAATGTTTTCTTATGAGGTCTAAATTATATAACTTAGCTAAAGTACTTAGCACAGTTTCTGGCACATGATAAATATTCAATAAAACTTTTTAGACCTTAACTGATAATGTATATTCTTATTAAATTATAACTAAAAACCTCTCTGAGACTCAGTTTCTAAATTTATAGATTGAAGTTAATACTTTGTATTTATCTTAAGGTTAGAAACCAGTAATTCAAGGAAAGCATCACTGTAGGTACCGTTACTGGAGATGCAGTTAGAATGCACGATTACTCCTAGGCTACATGAATCTCTGTGTATGTAAAAATAATATGCTAATGTTGCAGTTTGTGAATTATGTGTAACTCTCTTTCTCTATTTCTTCTTTCAATACTAATGATTAGGTCTATTATTGCAGAAATTAAGCAAGAACATTTTTCCCTATGTATCAGTTTATACCTTCTTTATGGATAAAGTAAAAAGTTTTTACTGAACAATTTCAAATACTTGATAGCTCAAGTACTGGTGCTTAGATATCTAGTGAAATACAACTTCCCTTCTTGAGTCCTGACTCTAACTATAAATTGTGACTGCATTCCAAACTAAGAGAAGCACATTTCTAGCTCCAGAGTATTGAAGCCATGCTGATTAGGAACATTTTGATTATTACAAACACCAATAGTAATTATTCACATGAGAGGATTTTTGTGACTGCAATCATGCTTTAATTTCTCCTGCTGGGTTTCATATTTGTAAATGCTTCAAAGATTAACCAGTCTTCCATTCTCATTGGGAAGTATTACTTGATTATCTCCTGTCTGCTTTACTTAGGATATCAGCCTGAAAAACACTGGCAGCACTTAAACTACTTATGAGACTGTAATCACTAGGATGGGGTGGGGCTGGGAATACGTTTTTGGAGACAGAGAATCTGGGTTTTCTTATTTAGTAATACAAGACTCTTAGTTCCATGAAGACCAGGAGTATTCAGAGAAAACAAATGGTTTTTAAAAGTCATACATAAGATTTAATCTTGAAGTGCAAAATAGATTTCTGGACTGAAGTGTAAGAATTAGAGGGACTTATTGGGAGACAATTCACTGTGTGTATCTTGCATTTCTGCACATTCTCTGAACACAGATTTTGATTGCCTTTATTCCAGATTATCTTTTCAAGTATTTCTCTGTAATAAACAGCCTTGGAAGATAGAGGTAGTGTCTCTCTCCTGAAGAAACAGCAGATTTGCTCATAGCCATGGAAGATAGAGATAGTGTTCCTCTCTGCAAGGGGCAGGTACACTTACTTCTCATAGTGAAAGAGGTGGGTTTCCTAAATTGAGGATCTATCTACTGTAATTCACCCAATTTCATCTGTAGATGTCACTTGGCCCTCTTCACGTTGCCCTGTGGGAATTGGGGTAAAGGGCACTGATGCAAACACGATGTCATGCTGTTTGCTGTCCCATGAATAATAAAGCACTTTGTCTCCTACCCAGAAGTCTTGCATCTTCTTCCAGCAGTTATGAAACTGCAGGAAGAGAAAGTGTTAGCTTGCAAGTAGGGTAAGGCATTAGACATTGCATAGCTCTTGATACAATGCAGTCAGATAAAGTGATAAGAAGATAAAATAACTCAATAAGGGAAAACTAAAAAATAGCCTGAGATTTCCTTTCTTCCTGTTTAATAAAGACACACTTAGCGTTAACTCATTTATTCATATAGTAAGCACCCTCTATGTGACAGATATTATTCTACTTACCAGGAATACAGTTCTGACTATGACTGTCAATTTCCTTCTTCTCTTGGTACTGAGCAGAAACAGGAACAAATATGTGAATGTGTGTGTGTGTGTGTTTGTATAAATTCCAGATGGTTATATATACTATGAAGCTAAATAAGAAGGACAGTGAAATAAACTAACACTTCTTTAATTATAATAGTCAGGAAAAGTCTTTATGAAGTGATAACATTTGGTATAAGGTCTTCAATGTAGAATTTTTGGGAAAGGACATGTCAGATGACAAGGAAAAGGAGAGGGAGTGAAAAGGAGTGAGAGGGAGGGGAAAAGAAGAAAGAGGGGAAGAGGAAAGGAAAGAGAGCAAAAGACAAAACAGCAATAGAAGAGACCCTAGGATTTAATACATTTGATTTTCTTTTCCAGAAAGAGAAAGAAAAGCAGTATGGCTGGGACATAATGGATGAGAAAAAATGGATATTTAATGAATTTAGCCCTTTGTGCTGGCACAAAATCATACTGGAAATTATAGACCACAGTAAGGTAATCAAATAGGGTAGCTGCTTTCTCTTTAACTTTATGAATTCTTTCACTTTCCTCATTATTTTTAAAAGTCTTAAAGTTTATTGATGCCATGAGTATTCTGAAAGTAAGGAATACATTTGCACTGGAAAATGCAGGTGTATGGATTTCTAGAACAGAATGAGAAAAAAATACCTTTACTTAGAAACTTCTGAAATAGAACTAAGTATTATTACAACTAATTACACTGTTTCTATTACTACTAAAACATAGATACTTCTGATGCTACTAAAATAAAATATAAATATAAGGAAAAAGAGAAGGAGGAGGCAGAAGACAAGAAGAAAAACAAACAAACAAAAAACCCAACAAATTATTGAGAGACTCATCTTCCAAGAACTAAGCTCACTGCTTTACATATTTTTTCTAAACTTCAAAAGTGCTCAATAAAATGCTGCAGTGCTCCTTTCAGAGACAGAAATGAATGCTCACAGAAGTGAAGTCCTTTGTTTGGGATTTCCCAGCTAGCCAATGCCTGGGCCAGGAGTTGAACCTTGGAACTACCCAGCTCCTGAGCCAGGATATTTGTGCAATATGCAGCCCATATTGTAATGAAGCATCTTTATGCCGCAGATGTTCCTTCACTTATGAAGCAGACGGCTTTGTCATCAGTTGATAGAGAGTTGCAGTATTTCAAAGATTGTTAGGTTCAGTCATGGGACAAAATGATTGGTGGTTTTTATCTGCATTGTTTGAAAAGTGTCGCTCTACACATTGGCTGAAATACAGCACATAACATTTCTTTTTTCTTTTTATCTTTTAATGGTGTCATCAGACAACAGATGTATCATGTCTACACAATACGATGAGTAGAAGTGCCTAAATCAATCATGTAGCATGAGGATATAGCTGATCCATGCTGCATTCCAGGTGCTTCTAGACTTTGGTCTTTTGGAAGGAAAAGGATGAGTTTCTGGAAAATATCTCTAAAGAAAAAAGGATTATTATTATTATCCCAAAGGAAATGTTTCATAAATGCACATAATCAAGGGGAACACATAAAATTATCTGAAAAAGTAGGCTTTGATCTAATAGAATATCAAATATACAGTGATCTGAAATTTACTTCTTGGGTAATTGGAAACCAATTTGTTGTTGGTTTGTCAACCAACATGTTGACATGTTGTTACACTGGGAAAATATATCTAAAAGAGATTGACTAAACCAGTGTTTTCATAACTGTGTTATAAAGAATGCATGTTTCTAGAGATAGTAGCATTTTATGAAAATAAGTTCTCATAGTTTGAAAAACCTCTGGCAAAATTTATTTATTTATTATAAGAATTGATATTCTTTCTTAGTAACAGAACCCCATTTAGTTAGTTGGGGAAGGATTATAATCTTATACTATGTGCCTGTATTTCTCAGCCTTTACTTCACTGGGGAAGCCAGTGAAATGTAGGTCTAATTTTGGAGTGTACTATGAGAAAAGTCCTGTAAAGGGTTCTAAATGAACTTGGAGGAGCATCCATTTTGCCACTTCCCTGTTTTATTTTTCTGCTTGGAAATTGTGTGTAATGATGGAACTCCAACAGCCCAGTTTTGTGACATTGGGTTGTTTTCAGGATAAAATCCACAAATTAGCATAACAAAACTTATAAATGAAACTTCATTTTACTTTGTGATACTACTATATGAGCCCTGATGTACTGACATCTTCATTAGATGTTTGGTAGGAAAGTAAAATGGTAATGGTTTAAGCCATTGTAGCCAGGTCTCTGCTATTTAACAGAAAATGGACATAATTCCTGATACATTTGCATATTCCACATTTTTCTTAAAGGTTTTGCAGGTACATTTGATGATTAAAAATCCTGAAAAGTGTTGTCATAAATAATATCTACATAAATAAAATAACTACTAAGAAGTTGCCATCGGTGGCTCACGCCTGTAATCCCAGCACTTTGGGAGGCCGAGGCGGGTGGATCATGAGGTCAGGAGATCGAGACCATCCTGGCTAACAAGGTGAAACCCCGTCTCTACTAAAAATACAAAAAATTAGCCGGGCGCGGTGGCGGGCGCCTGTAGTCCCAGCTACTCGGGAGGCTGAGGCAGGAGAATGGCGTGAACCCGGGAAGCGGAGCTTGCAGTGAGCCGAGATTGCGCCACTGCAGTCCGCAGTCCGACCTGGGCGACAGAGCGAGACTCCGTCTCAAAAAAAAAAAAAAAAAAAAAAAAGAAGTTGCCATGTGCTAGAGATTGCCCTAGATACTGAGGATGTGGGAAGATGAAGAGTGATTGATTCTATGTCATGGAAGGCTTTTCAGAAGATGCTAAATTAAGTTTTGAGGGGTGAATAGAAGTTTCTTAGAGGGAAAAATGGAAATATAATACAGATTGAAAGTGTAATAAAGGAAAAGAGATATAAATATCATGTTTCCCAAGAACTTCAGCATGCTTGATACAGCTGGAAAACAGGAGTGAATTTGTCTCAAGGGTGGATATGTTGTCCTGGAACAGAGTTACATATGTAGAGAGGTAAACAAAGGCCAAATTGTGAAAGGCTTTTTGTAGCAATCTAAGGAATACAGGCACTGTACACTAGGCAACATGGAATTATTAAGCAGTTGTAGGCAAAGATAAACAGGATTGTATTTGTGTTCTTGAATGACCTCCTGGCATCAATATGGAGGATGGATAAGGGAGCTTATTTGTGGGATTCAATAAACAAATATAAGAAAGCCCAAACTACTACAGCAGTCACTTCTCTGACTTATTAATAAAAAGCCACTGGTGTTTATTCATGCAACAATGCCCATTCCATGAACATAACCAACATCAAAGGAAATTAAGAACATTCACTGTTAAACCAAAAGAAAGCTCATATTTGAGGAAATAATTTCCATGAATTAAAAATTTAAAAATATCCTCCCGTTTTCCAATTTTATTTAAGAACAACCCTTTTATAAGTGCACAAAGTTGCAGACACCTCTTTGATTTAATCAGATCTTCCCACTAACAGCAGCTTCCACATTGAAGACAGTTTTTGTTTCTCTGCCACTTTGCAGACCTTTTAGTACCTCAGGATAAGAGCATAGTCTATTCTTGTTTTTTTTTTGTTTGTTCGTTTGGTTTTTTTTTTGTTTTTTTTTTTTTGTTTTTTTTTTGTTTTTTTTGAGATGAAGTCTCACTCTGTCACCCAGGCTGGAGTGCAGTGGTGCGATCTTGGCTCATTGCAACATCTGTCTCCCAGGTTCAAGTGATTCTCCTGCTTCAGCCTCCTGAGTAGCTGGGACTACAGGCTCACGCCACCACACCTGGCTCATTTTTGTATTTTTAGTAGAGACAGGGTTTCACCATGTTGGCCAGGATGGCCTCGATCTCATGACCTCAAGATCCACCCACCTCAGCCTCCCAAAGTGCTGGGATTACAGGAGTGAGCCACCGCACCCAGCCAAGAGCATAGTCTATTCTACGTAGTCAAGGAAGTTTGCGTTTTCCCAGGGCTCCCCTTTCCTAGCGTTTAGAAGCTGGTTAGAGACAGCACACAGTGACATTTATCACTATGCCCACTTGGGCATTGTGACTGAAGCCAAGATCACTTTCAACAAAGTAGTACCATTTACACTAAAGTGCCAGTGGTTTTGCATCAGTGAAAATCTGTATAGCCCTGATTTCAAAGGAAGTAATCACTTTTTCGGAAACAGTAACAGCCTTAGGATCCTTTAGCATGTCTAATTTTTTTTAATAGTCCGTATCCCTCTTCATTAGCTCCTGGCCCAACTTCCTACCACACTAAATTCTGAGGAGGTTGTGAGCTTTTGAACAATCCCCCATCTTCACTGTGGAACGTTTACTTTGTGATCTTTTAGGAAGGGCTGTAAAATACTTCTGAGTGTGGTTCCAAGCTGAGGAATTAGATTTTATCAGGGTCTTCTTGTTGGGATGGTTGTAGGTAAACTGTCTTTCTCATTGTAATAGTGGTTGTTGCTATCATTTATATCCTAGCCACAATTCTCATCACCTCTATTCTGCCAAGTAAATTTCTGAGAGAAATCAGTCAGCGTAGAAGGAATTAGTATTCAGGTGCACCCATGTGGTTTTGACCACCATCTATATATTTTTTTAAAGACTATTGTCTCTGAAATTATTTCTCTAGGAATATTGTTTTCTTTTAAGCCCATAAAATGCATCATTTCATGCTAAATAGTATATCCAGGAACCACCACTCACAAGAATTTTTGGCAGAAAGTATCATCGTTTTCATCTGACCATGGCGGACACTGAGTAAACAGACTGGAGGGAAAAATAGAGTGACGGTTTTGCTTACCTAGTGAGCTTAATAAATACGTATGTTAATTAGAAAATAACAAATGGATATTTTAGAAATATATTACTCTAAAATAGGTTGCTTATAGAAAATATATTTTTTCTTATTTTTATTTGTACTTCAACTTGTTTCCAAAGGGAATTTGTAGTGGCTAGTGGTGCATATTACTACTATCATTATTCTATTAAAAGTTTTGCTTGTCTCTTAGAGAGCAAATTCAATAGAAAAGAACACTACTGAATATAAATCTAATTTTACTCCAATTAAATTCAACTTGTTATTTTCAAAAGAGCAATAGGATCAGTAAGAAGAAAAGCAGAAATAGATAGCTTGTTTTTTAGGAAGGTGGGTCAGGAAGCTCAGTCTTTGTTTTGCACATATGGAGATAAAAACACTGGAATAAAAATCATGGAACTGAATCATTAAAACATTACAAAACAAAACTTTTTGAGAATTAGAGGCATTCTCTCATATCTAGGAAACATACTGACTACTGGTTTATAAAAGTAATGCAAATCATAAAAGTCCCACAGATTCTGAAATAAGTCTGTATGGAATGATGATTCTTAGAGAGCATTTAATGTAATGCCTGTGCTTCACAGGTGAGGAAACAAAAACACCAGAGAAGTTAAGTAACTTTTTCAGTGTCACACAGTAATAGAGGCTAAGTAGGGCTTTCTGAACCCTACTTCAAAATTTACTAGTTGATGTACTCTAAGGCAACTTATTCTAGGAGAAAGATCTGTTTTAGGATTCCATTTTTCTCCCTTCTGCAAAGTCAATAGGTGACTATGTGAACTAGGACACATTTACTTTCTGATTTTTTTTTTCGTAGAAAGCAAAATTATGATTTTTAAAAAATTTGTTTAGTTATTGTTTATTATTTCAATAGGTTTTTGGGGAACAAGTGGTGTTTAGTTACATGAATAAGTTCTTTAGTGGTGATTTCTGAGATTTTTGTGCACTCATCACTCAAGCAGTATACACGATACCCAATGTGTAGGCTTTTATCTCTGGCCATGATTTTGAAAAGAGTTCTAACAAAAAAACAGCAAAAGAAACATTTGAACCAGTGTCCAAGATCAAAGACTAAAAAGTCCTCTGTTAGTAACTAAATGTAACATAATGCAAACCAGAATTTTAAAACCAGATAGAAAAATTTAGGTAGTTACTTCTCTTAAGGAAGAGAGACATGAGAACACATTCTTCTTTTCAAGTAGTAAAAAAGGCCTTTATCGTATTCTGCTAAGGCTTTTCTGGTTAAAAGATTAACGAATCTTCTTTAGGTTTCTAGAAATACTTAGTAACCCAGTTTCATAAGATCCCATTATATCACAGTAGGGTATGTGTTTCAGAACTCTTGGATATAAAAGTTTAGCTTAGCAAAAAAGAAGAGCCAAACTACTGGAGGGAAAGTATTGACTTTTAAGAAAAAGAAGTTTCATCTTTAGTGATTAAATTAATCAAATGGATATTTTTCACTTTCCTTCCATAAAACACATTTTTAGAGACCATTCAAACATAAGTTGCTCTCAGAATCATACTAATTGGCTCTCTGGTAATTCAAGAGATGACTTGTTGATGAAGAAGATACTGATACGCTCACAAGCGAATATAAGAAGGAGCAGTCCTACTCATATTTTTAAAGATATAAATAAGAAGAAGCACTTTAGAACAGAAGCTTGAGAAAGGTTCCTTAAAGAGATAGTAATGCTAATATATATTGTCACTTGTCTTCAGGGTAAAAACGAGGGAAACATCTAGAATTGAATCCCTGTAAATGGCGTAAGAATCTTAAACTATCAGACCCTAGGATGAAGCTGCATGACCCACCTAGCTCCCTAGTTATGGTTTGCCCCAAATATAAGGTTTCTGTAATTGCTCATATTCTATTAATCTGTGTGGAAAAGAAAGGCCATTTTCTACTGCTGTGCTGCAAAAGAAATTTTTTAAATTTATAGAGCATAGAAGCAGCAACATTTCTGGAATCCATGAGCCTGAAAGTCTCAGCTGGTTGCCTCGTCTGTCTACTTTTTTTTTTTTTTTTTTTGCCATAGTACCTCAGTTTATTTGGATATTGGCCCTTAAATGGCTCAGAACGGAAAATGGAGGCTGACAATCATGATCAGTCTCATACCCTTTGGTACCTGGGGATTAGGAATGAATGTATGGCCCAATACTGAAGAGAGACATGCAGGAAAATCTATCTATGTGGCTTTACCCACAGGAAACATGTAATAGTAGGAACACCCTTCTTTTTCACTTACAGTGGGCATATGCCAATATGGTACCAAGAAACTGATGAACACATCTTGCAAACGTAAGTAACAGCTGCCAATATCCTAAGGAGAAAAGAGGACAAAAGTACTGAGCATCTGGGTCCATGATAATATTGCTGATTTGCTATATGAACTCTAAAATCAAGCTGAAGCTTGTGTCTAATTTTCTGTAGGTATCTTGAATATCTTTAAATCTCTGTGCAGGCAAAGGCACTTACTGCTTTTGATTCTGATCATTTTTTTCAAGGATGTTTGTATAGCAAAAGAGTTTGAAAGATACAGATAGTGTCTCATTCTGGAACCAACGGCGGCTTTGCTTACTGTTTTCAGTGTGGTAAAGATAATGTTTACCTAAAAACAAAACAACAACAACAAAAAAAACAAAAAACAAAACAAAACAAAAAAACTTTAGGCAAGATTACCGTCCATTGAAGAAGACTTGTTTTCTAAGTTTCGAGTTTCTCTCCTGTAATGCAGCCAACTTCATGTAAGGGCATTGTCTGAACCAGTGTGCAGTTAAAATCAACACAAAAGCTGATCTAGCAGAGTAAAATCTTAGCGTCTTCACCGTTACTGGCACTGGGTTTCCTGTTGTATGAGGTAATAAATTTCCTCAGACCCTCTTTGAATGGCATGTTCTATTATTTATGGATAAAAATATTTTATCTGAATATCATCACAATACTATTTATGTTTTGAAGAAAAGAGAAGATAATCTCTAGATACATGTTTCATGTTAGAGTTAGCAGCATTATGTAGTGAAATTGTAAGAGTTGGACACTTCTGAGACTTTAGGAAACTATTTGATACATTTGTCTCAATGTTCTCTTGTTGAATGGGGGCAGTAAATCTGCCCTAAGTAAGGACTATACCTTGCATATAATATATATGGTCACTTGGTATTCTATTTTTTAAAAAATCATAAAATTTTATATGAATGCTCTCAAAAAAGCAACTTACAAGTGCTTATATAACTAATATTTATATCACAACATTTTAACTCTAACACCAGGTGTTACAATTGACAGATTTCTTGAATACTACAATAAACACTTTTTAAATTTAATTAGTATTCTGAGGCTCGACCTGCAAAGAGATAAAGTCTTAAGCACAGCTGCAGAATTATTTCTTTAGATGACTCAAATAATGTGACCCAAAAATAAAAAAGAAAGAGCTAGAATTTTTCCTTCTTCTTTTTTTCTTTATTTTTTTAGTTGGTATTCTAAGAAGGCACAGATGGGCTATGTTTAATGAATCTTTTGCGAAGTAATCATCAATGAACAAAAAACTTTTAAAACATGTTTACCAGTTTTTGTTAATCTTTACCATGTGGAGGAGAACACATGGAAAGTAGAATGTGAGGTGGTGACAGAGAGGAAAATTGGAGAGCTACATGAGGTGTGGGCTGGCAGGATTGATGGTGACCAGGGATGCAGGGCATTTAGGGAGGATTAGAGATCCACACAGATAACCTGACCAGAAGCTTGGTGACCAACAGTGGGAGTGCTGGGAGGAGATCGGCAAAGACAGAAAGGAGGCCTTCACAGCTACAGTTTGGTTACACTGAGCAAGTAAGTAACTGCATTTAGAATAAAATGGAACCTTTCAAAGCAAAAGAAGTTATTAATAGACAAAGAAAATATAATAATGAAAACAAGCATGAGGTATTGGATTGAAATTGGAGGTTTCACTATGGGCTTATGATTTTATAATGTACATATTCAACAAATATTTATAGTTGTATATGCATTCGTATACATTTATATACAAGCTCTGTCCATTGAAAGGGCCTAGAAGCAATGACACCCCTGTAACAATTGAGCATGGCAAGGGCCATAATCTTAGCTTCTAAATGCTGTCCTCACTAAAAGGAGCCAGAGCTTCTTGGAGAAATGACTGATTCCAGGACAAGGGCGGGAAAAGCATGATTGCAACATTCTGTTGCACCTGACATTATGGCAATGTTCAATGAATGTTGGGGACATGTCAAAACTATATAGAAGCTAGTTTGAATGGGATGATTTTGGCATTAAAATAGCCAATGGCAAAAATGTATTGCAACCCTAACGAATAAAATAGAAGCTCATGATTTTATACTGTCATCATAAATGAGTTAATTATTAGAATCATTATATATTATATTTAGTCTATTATATATAAAAATAAAGAAATGTAGGGATACAATTTTTATTTACAATGGAATGCCAATGAATTTTAAAGGAATAATAGGAGTAAGAGAATTGCTACTTGGCAGCCATCAGAGATAATGGTTGGTTAAAGCAGGTACTGTCAGTGGATATGAAAGCCATTTAGTGGTGGTTCACTGAGGAATAAATTTATGGCATGATTGTGAAATACTGCCCTACAATATACTAATAATTCAAATGGAAAAATGGTGATTGTAAGGTGTAAGAACTTAGTAGACCCTGTGTCTCCAAGTGGTTAAAGTTAAAATCACCAGGGGAAGGACTGGTCTATATCATGTGTCTCCTAAGGTGATGCACCAAGAAACGTGCCACCTCATTTCCATGGAACTCACTCCTGCCAAAAATGCATGACCTTAGTCAGGACACGAAGAAGCATTAGATGGATCCGCGTCAAGGGTCATCCTCCAGAATGTAGGGCGTGTCCCCTTTAAACTTGTCAATGACATGTAAGATAGAAAGACACTGAGGAACTGATTCAGGATGAAAGAATCTGTTGCAACAATTAATTAATGTAACTTGCTTTTCTGGATAGACCCAAAGCCAACAAGATAAAGTTCTCATTATTAAAGCAATTGACAAAATTTGAATGGGAATTTAGGTTCAAATGGTAATACTGTACCAATTTTTATTTTCTGAACTGGAGAGTTATAGTATAGTTATTCAAGAAAGTGTTATTTGTGGAACATACATACCGTACTGTTTGGGGTGAGGGAACAATGTGTCTACACCTTATTCATGAAAAGTTCCCCAAAAATGAAATATATGGCTATATATTTCCAGAGGAAAAAAACAGATTGGAAAATGCAACAAATGTGGTAACCATTGAAAATAATACTATTATTTTCATTTAACTTTAAGTTGCATACTCAATGCATCATTCATTAGTCCAACAAATGCCAAGATTCTCCCTGGCTTGCTCCACTGATTCAGATGCAGTGTTTACAGAAGAGAACAAGTAAAACAAGGACACTTCCCACAAATATCTGCTCTCTAGTGGAATTCACATAACTATGCTGAAGTCTGTGATCCTTTTCCTGAAGTAATTAATTCATTAGAACACTATTTTCATGTATGTTATTTGCAGACATTCCAGTGGTCTTGTGAAAGAAAGCAAAGGATTCTGAGAAAGAAATGATAATGTTCAACAAAAAAATAAATATATTCACTGTGGCTTCTTCTTTATTGCATGTATATTCTATTTCCTCACTTCTGTTGTCCTGAGTCCAGGAAGTATTGCATATTATCAAAATTATGAATAGAGACTTTAAAAAACCTATTCCTGTACCTTCACAAGTGTGATCTCGTTTGCCAGAACTGACAGCAGTCTTATAGTTACTGCTTTCTCAAATAACAAATAGTGCATTGTTTTGTTCCATCTCACAGTTTCTTAAATTTCAAAGTTCGGTAGCATATTGAATAAACGAATAAAGACCAAAACCCTTATAAATTGTGGTGGTGGCACCCAATTGAAACATCATTTTTGAAGTGCTTAAATCAAAACAATAAAGAGGGTGGTATCCACAATACATTAACACATTCTTTACAAGTTTTACTTTTTAAAATAATAAAGCTTTTTAGTTGACTTCATTTTATTTTTTACATTATAATATATATGCCAGATATGTAGATTTCCAAAACCACAAACACAAATATTAGAACTTCGAAGAATATTTTCAGTTCTACTGAGGATTTATTTTCTTTTGTTTTGTGAAGTTGCAATACTTTTTGGTAATTAGGAATTGACAAAGGGCTAATAATAGTTATCTTGGTTCTACTGTTTATGCATAATCTGCTTTATTTCTGCATGCATGTTCGTTATTTGGAATATCTATATATATGAAAGGTATAATTTAACCTGGAATATATTTGTTGAATGGCTAAACAATCTTGAGTCCAATGATACTACACCCATTAAACATAAAACAAATGAAATGCAGTCCCTCAACAGAAAACTAATACTAGTAATAAATAAATAATAATTCAATAAATAATAAATTGATATATCCATGCACAAAAGTATA